>NC_000014.9:37187470-37490500 GCF_000001405.40 Homo sapiens | reverse complement strand
TCTATACCCCGGTGGCACCTGGAATGTCAGCAAGACAGACCGTTCACTCCCCTGGAAAGGGGGCTGAAGCCAGGGAGCCAAGTGGTCTGGCTGGCAGGTCACACCCCCACGGAGCCCAGCAAGTTAAGATCCACTGGCTTGAAATTCTCATTGCCAGTACAGGAGTATGAGGTCGACCTCGGATGCACCAGCTTGGTATGGGGAGGGGGGTTCACCATTGCCGAGGCTTGAGTAGGCAGTTTTACTCTCACAGTGTAAACAAAGCCACAGGGAAGTTCGAACTGGGTGGAGCCCACTGCAGCTCAGCAAGGCCACTGTGGCCAGACTGCCTCTCTAGAGTCTTCCTCTCTGGGCAGGGCATCTCTGGAAAAAAAGGCAGCAGCACCAGTCAGGGGCTTATAGATAAAACCCCCATCTCCCTGGGACAGAGCACCTGGGGAAGGGGTGGCTGTGGGCACAGCTTCAGCAGACTTAAACATCCCTGCCTGATGGCTCTGAAGAGACCAGCAGATCTCGCAGCACAGCGTTCAAGCTATGCTAAGGGTCAGACTGCCTCCTCAAGTAGGTCCCTGACCCCTGTGTATCCTGACTTGGAGACACCTCCAAGTAGGGGCTGACAGACACCTCATACAGGAGAGCTCTGGCTGGCATCTGGTGGGTGCCCCTCTAGGACGAAGCTTCCAGAGGAGGGAACAGGCAGCAATTACTGCTATTCTGCAACTTCTGCTGGTGATACCCAGGCAAACAGGGTCTAGAGTGGACCTCCAGCAAACTCCAGCAGACCTGCAGCAGAGGGGCCTGACTGTTAGAAGGAAAACCAAAAAACAGAAAGGGATAGCATCAACATCAACAAAAAGGACGTCCAGTCAGAGACCCAATCCGAAGGTCACCAACATGAAAGACCAAAAGTAGATAAATCCATGAAGATGGGGAGAAACCAGCAGAAAAAGACTGAAAATTCCAAAAACCAGAATGTCTCTTCTCCTCCAAAGGATCACAGCTCATTGCCAGCAAGGGAATAAAACTAGATGGAGGAGTTTGATGAACTGACAGAAGTAGGCTTTAGTAGGTGGGTAATAACAAACTCCTCTGAGCTAAAGGAGCATGTTCTAACCCAATGCAAGGAAGCTAAGAACCTTGAAAAAAGGTTAGAGGAAATGCTAACTAGAATAACCAGTTTAGAGAAGAACATAAATGACCTGATGAAGCTGAAAAACACAGCACGTGATACATACACAAGTATCAATAGCTGAGTTGATCAAGCGGAAGAAAGGATATCAGAGACTGAAGATCACCTTAATGAAATAAAGTGTGACGACAAGATTAGAGAAAAAAGAATGAAAAGGAACAAACAAAGCCTCCAAGATAAATGGGACTATGTGAAAAGACAAAATCTACTTTTGATTGGTGTACTTGAAAGTGATTGGTGTACTTGAAAGTGATGCGGAGAATGGAACTCAGTTGGAAAACACTCTTTAGGATATTATCGAGGAGAAATTCCCCAACCTAGCAAGACAGTCCAACATTCAAATTCAAAAAATACAGAGAACACCACAAAGATATTCCTTGAGAAGAGCAACCCCAAGACACATAATCATCAGATTCACCAGGGTTGAAATGAAGGAAAAAATGTTAAGGGCACCCAGAGAGAAAGGTCAGGTTACCCACAAAGGGAAGCCCATCAGACTAACAGCAGATCTCTCGGGAGAAAACCTACAAGCCAGAAGAGAGTGGGGGCCAATATTCAACATTTTTAAAGAAAAGAATTTTCAACCCAGAATTTCATATCCAGCCAAATGAAGTTTCATAAGCAAAGGAGAAATAAAATCCTTTACAGACAAGCAAATGCTGAGAGATTTTTGTCATCACCAGGTGTGCCTCACAAGAGCTCCTGTACGAAGCACTTGTACAGGACAAAGAAGGGCATGATACAATGGTAAAGGGATCAATGCAACAAGAAGGGCTAACTGTCCTAAACCTATATGCACTCAACACAGGAGCACCCAGATTTATAAAGCAAGTTCTTAGAGACCCACAAAGAGACTTAGACTCCCACACAATAATAGTGGGAGACTTTAACACCCCATTGTCCATATTAGACAGATCAACGACAGAAAATTAATAAGAACATTCAGGAATTCAATTCAGCTCTGCACCAAGCGGACCTAATAGACATCTACAGAACTCTCCACCCTAAATTGAGAGAATATACATTCTTCTCAGCACCTATTGCACTTATTCTAAATCTGATCACATAATTGCAAGTGAAACACTGCTCAGGAAATGCAAAAGAATGGAAATCATAGCAAACAGTCACTCCAACCACACTGCAATCAAATTAGAACTCAGGATTAAGAAAACTGCACAACTACATGGAATCTGAACAACCTGCTCCTGAATGACTACTGAGTAAATAATGAAATGAAGGCAGAAATAAAGATGTTCTTTGAAACCAATGAGAACAAAGATACAATGTACCAGAAACTCTGGGACACATTTAAAGCAGTGTCTAGGGGGAAATTTATAGCACTAAATGCCCACAAGAGAAAGCAGGAAAGATCTAAAATTCACACCCTAACAACACAATTGAAAGAACTAGAGAAGCAAGAGCAAACAAATTCAAAAGACAGCACAAGGCAAGAAATAACTAAGATCAGAGCAGACTGAAGGAGATAGAGACACAGAAAGCCCTTCAAAAAATCAATGAATCCAGGAGCTGGTTTTTTGAAAAGATGAACAAAATAGACCGCTAGCCAGACTAATAAAGAAGAAAAAAGAGAAGAAACAAATAGATGCAATAAAAAGTGATAAAGGGGATATCACCACTGATCCCACAGAAATACAAACTACCATCAGAGAATACTATAAACACCTCTACACAAATAAACTAGAAAATCTAGAAGAATTGGATAAATTTCTGCACACATACACCTTTCCAAGTCTAAACCAGGAAGAAGTCAAATCCCTGAATAGACCAATAACAAGTTCTGAAATTGAGTCAGTAATTAATAGCCTACCAACCAAAAAAAGTCCAGGACCAGATGGATTCACAGCCAAATTCTCCCAGAGGTACAAAGAAGAGCTGGTACCATTCCTTCTGAAACTATTGCAAAGAACAGAAAAAGAGGGAATCTTCCCTAACTCATTTTATGAGGCCAGCATTATCCTGATACCAAAACGTGGCAGAGACAAACAAAACAAAAAGAAAATTTCAGGCAAATATCCTTGATAAACATTGATGCAAAAATCTTCAATAAAATACTTGCAAACTGAATCCAGCAGCATATCAAAAAGCTTATCCACCACGATCAAGTCGGCTTCATCCCTGGGATGCAAGGATGGTTCAACATATGCAAATCAATAAATGTAATCCATCATATAAACAGAACCAATGACAAAAAACACATGATTATCTCATTAGATGCAGAAAAGGCCTTCAACAAAATTCAACACCCCTTAATGCTAAAAACTCTCAATAAACTAGGTATTGATGGAACATATCTCAAAATAGTAAAAGCTATTCATGACAAACCCACAGTCAATATCATACTGAATGGGCAAAAACTGGAAGAATTCCCTTTGAAAACTGGCACAAGACAAGGATGCCCTCTCATACCCACTCCCATTCAACATATTATTGGTGTTATTGGAAGTTCTAGCCAGGACAATCAGGCAAGAGAAAGCAATAAAGAGTATTCAATAAGAAGAGAGGAAGTCAAATTGTCTGTTTGCAGATGACATGATTGTATATTTAGAAAACCCCATCGTCTCAGCCCAAAACCTCCTTAAGCTGATAAGCAACTTCAGCAAAGTCTCAGGATACAAAATCAATGAGCAAAAATCACAAGCATTCCTATACACCAATAACAGACAAACAGACAAATCATGAGTGAACTCCCATTCACAAATGCTACAAAGAGAATAAAATATCTAGGAATACGATTCACAAGGGATGTGAAGGATCTCTTCAAGAAGAACTACAAACCATTGCTCAAGGAAATAAGAGAGGACACAAATAAATGGAAAAACATTCCATGCTCATGGATAGGAAGAATCTATATCTTGAAAATGGCCATACTGCCCAAAGTAATTCACAGATTCAATGCTCCTATCAAGCTACCATTGACTTTCTTAAAAAATTGAAAAAACCTACTTTAAATTTCATTTGGAACCAAAAAAGATCTGCATTGCCAAGACAATCCTAAGCAAAAAGAACAAAGCTGGAGACATCACACTACCTGACTTCAAATTGTACTACAAGGCTATAGTAACCAAAACAGCATGGTACTGGTAGCAAAACAGATATATAGACGAATGAAACAGAACAAACAGAGGCCTCAGAAATAACACCACACATTTACAACCATCTGATCTTTGACAAACTTGACAAAAACAAGCAATGGGGAAATAATTCCCTATTTAATAAATGGTTTTAAGAAAACTGGCTAGCCATATGAAGAAAACTAAAACTGGATCCCTTCCTTACATCTTATACAAAAATTCACTTAAGATGAATTAAAGACTTAAACATAAGACCTAAAACCATAAAAACCCTAGAAGAAAACTTGGGCAATATCATTCAGGACACAGGCATGGGCAAAGACTTCATGACTAAAACAACTAAAGCAATGGCAACAAAAGCCAAAATTGACAAATGGGATCTAATTGAACTAAAGAGCTTCTGTACAGCAAAAGAAACTATCATCAGAATAAACAGGCAATCTACAGAATGGGAGAAAATTTTTGCAATCTATCCATCTGACAAAGGGCTAATATCCAGAACCTACAAAGAACTTAGACAAATTTACAAGAAAAAAACAAACAACCCCATCAAAAAGTGGGCAAAGGATATGAACAGAAACTTCTCAAAAGAAGACATTAATGCAGCCAACAAACATGAAAAAAATCTCATCATCACTGGTCATTAGATAAATGCAAATGAAAACCACAATGAGATACCATCTCACGCCAGTTAGAATGGTGATCATTAAAAAATCAGGAAACAACAGATGCTGGAGAGGATGTGGAGAAATAGGAATGCTTTTACACTGTTGGTGGGAGTGTAAATTAGTTCAGCCATTGTGGAAGACAGTGTAGCAATTCCTCAAGGATCTAGAACCAGAAATAGCATTTGACCCAGCAATACCATTACTGGGTATATACCCAAAGGATTATAAATCATTCCAGTATAAAGACACATGCACACGTATGTTTACTGCGGCACTGTTCACAATAGCAAAGACTTGGAATCAACCCAAATGCCCATCAGTGATAGACTGGATAAAGAAAATGTGGCACATATACACCATGGAATATAAAAAACGATGAGTTCATGTCCTTTGCAGGGACGTGGATGAAGCTGGAAACCATCATTCTCAGCAAACTAACACAAGAACAGAAAACCAAACACCGCATGTTCTCACCCATAAAAGGGAATTGAACAATGAGAACACATGGACACAGGGAAGGCAGCATCACACTATGGGGCTTGTCAGGGGGTGGAGGGGAAGGGGAGGATAGCATTAGGAGAAATACCTAATGTAGGTAACGGGTTGATGGGTGCAGCAAACCACCATGGCATGTATATACCTATGTAACAAAACTGCACATTCTGCACATGTACCCCAGAACTTAAAGTACAATAATAGTAAAAAAGAAACAAATGGAAATTTTAGAAGTGAAAATACAATAACTGAAATGAAAAGCCCAGAGGATAGGCTAAATAGCAGAATTGAAGGGACAGAGAAAGAATAAGAGAACTGGAAGAGAGAACAATAAAAATGATTCAATATGAATAACTGAGACATAGACTGAAAAAAACTATCACAACTTCAGGGACCTGTGGACTATAATAAAAGATCTAACGGCTGGGTGTGGTGGCCCACGACTGTAATCCCAGCACTTTGGGAGGCTGAGGGGGGCGGATCACGAGGTCAAGAGATTGAGACCATCCTGGACAACATGGTGAAACCTCATCTCTACTAAAAATACAAAAATGTGCTGGGCGCGGTAGGACACTCCTGTAGTCCCAGCTACTCAGGAGACTGAGTCAGGAGAATTGCTTGAATCCGGGAGGCGGAGGTTGCAGTAAGCCAAGATTACACCACTGCACTCCAGCCTGGTGACAGAGCGAGACTCCGTCTCAAAAAAAAAAAAAAAAAAAGATCTAACATTTGGGTCATCAAAGTCATGGAAGGAGAAATGGAAGAGGATAGAGCTAAAAAAACAAGTACTTAAAGAAACAATGGCTGAAAACTTTGAAATGTGGCAAGACACAGAAACCTACAAGAAGTTGAGAAAACTCCAAATGGGGAAAACCCACATAAATGAATTCAAAGACACATCACAATTAAACTTCAAAAAACTAACGCCAAAGACAAATGACAGAACTCATAGCTTCTTTTCCAAGGTTGACTAGTATTGCATTGGATATATATACTACATTTTCTTTATCTGTTCATCTGTTGATGGTACTGATACTTAGGTTGATTCCATAACTTGGCTATTGTGAACAGTGTTGCAATGAACATGGAAATGCAGACATTTCTTTGAAAAAATAATTTCAGGACAGTTGTGGCGGCTCACACCTGTGAAGTCAGCACTTTGGAAAACTGAGGTGGGAGGACTGCTTGAGGCCAGGAGATCAAGGCCAGCTTGCGCAACATAGTGAAACCCTGCCTCTACAAAATTTTTAAAAAATCAGTCAGGTGTGGAGGCATACACTCGTAGTCCAGGTACTCGGGAGGCTGAGGCAGGAGGATTGCTTGAGCCCCTGAGTTTGAGGCTGCAGTGAGCTACAGTCATGCCACTGCACTCCAGCTTGGGCCACAGAGCAAGACTCTGCCCTTAAAAAAAAACATTTCAAATCTTTTGGGTAAATATCCAGAAGTGAAATTGCTGGATCATATAATTCTATTTTTAGTTTTTGGAGGAACCTGCTTTCAGTCATCCATAATGGCTATACAGTTGGCCCTCTGAATATATGGACATACAGTTGGCCCTAGAATACATGGATTCTGCAATTGTGGATTCAACCAACCATGGATGAAAAATATTTTTTTCTTTAAGGAAAGAAGGATTGTTGTTGGCTGTGCATGGTGGCTCACACTTATAATTCCAGCACTTTGGGAGGCCAGGGCAGTTCGATCGCTTGAGCCCAGGAGTTTGAGACCAGTCTGGTCAACGTGGCAAGACCTCATCTCTACTAAAAAATACAAAAAATTAGCCAGGCGTGGTGGCATAAGCCCATAATCCCAGCTACTCGGGAGGCTGAGACAGGAGAATCGCTTGAACCCAGGAGGCGGAGGTTGGAGTGAGTCAGGATCATGCCACTGCACTGAAGCCTGGGCAACAGAACGAGACTTGGTCTTAAAAAAAAAAAAAAAAGGTTGTGTCTATACTGAACATGTGCAGATTTTTTTTGTAGTGATTATTCCCTAAACATATAGTATAACAACTATTTGCATAGCATTTACATTGTGTTAGGTATAAGCTAGAGATGATTTAAGGTATATAGGAGGATGTGCATAGGTTATGTGCAAACACTACAACATTTTACACAAGGGATTTGACTATCCATGGGTTTTGCTATCCACATGGGGTGCTGATACCAATCCCCTAACAGATACTGAGGGACAGCTGAATTAATTTATGTTCCCACTGAGAGTATACAAGGGTTCCCTTTTCTCCATATCCTCACTGACACTTGTTAACTTTTGTCTTTTTGAAAACAGCTGATATGGTTAGGCTTTGTGTCCCCACCCAAATCTCATCTTGAATTGCAATTCAGGTGTCGAGGGAGGAACCTGGTGAGAGGTGACTAGTTCATGGGGGTGGTTTCCCCAGTGCTGTTCTCATGATAGTGAGTGAATTCTCAGGAGATCTCATGGTTTTATAAGTGTCTGGAATTTCCCCTGCTTGCACTTCTCTCTCCTGCCACCATGTGAAGAAGGTCCTTGCTTCCCCTTTACCTTTTGCCATGATTGCAAATTTCCTGAGGCCCCCCTCAGCCATGTGGAACTGTGAGTCAATTAAACCTCTTTTCTTTATAAAATACCCAGTCTTGGGCAGTTCTTGACAGCAGTGTGAAAATGGACTAATACAACAGCCATGCTGACTGGTGTAAGATATCTTATTGTGGTTTTAATTTGCATTTCCCTATAATTAGCAATTAAACATTTTTTCATATATCTACTGGCTATCTGTATGCCTTCTTTTGAGAAGTGTCTATTCAAATCCCTTGCCCATTTTTAAACTGGGTGTTTTGTTTTCTTGCTATTGAGTTGAGTGCCTTACATATTTTGGATATTAACCCTTTATCAGATGTATGGTTTCCAAGTATTTTCTCCCAATCCATAGGCTGTCTCATCATACTGTTAATTGTTTTCTTTGATGTACAGAAGCTTTTTAGTTTCATGTAATCTCATCTGTCTATTTTTTTCTTTTGTTGCCTATGCTTTTTGGGGTCAGATCCAATAAACCAACATAATATAGTTTCCCCTCCTATGTTTTCTTCTAGTAGTTTTATAGTTTCTGGCCTTTCATTTAAGTCCTTAACCATTTTGAGTTGACTTTTGTGTGTGGTGAGAGGTAAGGGTCCAACTGCATTTTTCTGCATGTAAATATCAAGTTTTCTAAGCATTATTTATTGAAAAGACTATCCTTTTCCCATTGTGTATTCTTGGCACATTTGTCAAAAATCAATTGATGATATATATGAGCGTTCATTTCTGGGCTCTCTATTCTGTTGCATTGGTCAATAGGTATATTTTTTGGCAGTATCATGCTGTTTTAATTGCTACAGCTCTGTTGTATTATTTGAAATCAGCTATTGTGATTCCTCTAGCTTTGTTCTTTTTGCTCATGATTCCCTTGGCTATGTGGTTTCGGTGTGTGTGTGTGTGTGTGTGTGTGTGTGTGTGTGTGTGTGTGTGTGTGTGTTGGGGGGGGTCCATATGAGTTCCATGATAGTTTTTTCTATTTCTTTTAACAATGACATTAGAATTCTGATAATTATTGCACTGAATCTGTATATCATTTTGGGTAGATCATTTGGTGTGACATTTTAACAGTATTAACTCTTCTAATTCATGAACATGAGATATCCTTCCACTTATTTGTGTCCTCTTCAATCTCTTTCATTGACATTTTAGAGTTTTCATTGTGCAGGTCTTACATCTCCTTTTGGTAAATTTATTCCCAAGGTTTAATTTTTTTAGGGGGTAGCTATTGCAAATGGGATTGTTCTCTTGATTTCTGGTTCAGATAGTTTGTTGTTAGTGCATAGAAGTGCTATGGATTTCGGGGTGTTGATTTTGTATCCTACAACTTTACTGTATTTGTTTTTTGTGTTTTTGCTCTTTTAGAGGATCTTTGTCTGCCACCCAGGCTGGAGTCCAGTGGTGCAATCATAGTTCACTGTAACCTTGTACTCCTGGGCTCAAGCAATCCTCCTGTGTCAGCCTTCCAAATAGCTAGGACTACAGGCATGTGCCAACATGCCTGGCTATTTTTTTAAATTTTTAAATAGAGACGAAGTCTCACTATTTTGCCCAGGCTGGTCTTGAACTCCTGGCTTCATGTGATCCTCCTGCTTTGGCCTCCCAAAGTGCTGGTATTACAGACATGAACCACTGCACCCAGCCTGTTTTATTAGTTCTAAGAGGTTTTTTTTGTTTGTTTGTTTTTTTGTGGAGTCTTCAGGGTTTATGATCCTGTTCTCAGCAAACAATGACAATTTCACTTCTTTCTTTCCTATTTGAATGACTTTTATTTCTTTCTCTTGCCTAATTGCTCTGGCAAGAATTTCCAGTACTATGTGGAAAAGAAATGGTGAGAGCTGGCATCCTTGTCTGATCCCAGATCTTAGAGGAGAGGCTTTTAATTGTTTACAGCTGAGTGTAATGTTAGCTGTGGGCTTCTCATATGGCCTTTATTTTATTGAGGTACATTCTTTCTATACCGAGTTTGGTGAGAGTTTTTTTTTTTTAATCATGAAAGGATGTTGAATTTTGTCAAATGTTTTTTTCTGCATCTAATGAGATAACCACATGGCTTTTGTTTTTCATTCTGTTAATGTGATGTATCAAATGTATTGATTTGCATACGTTTCACCATCCTTGCATCCCAAGAATAAATCCCACTCGATAATGGTGGATTTATAATGTGTTGTTGAATTTGGTTTGATAGCATTTTGTTGAGAATTTTTACATCTATGTTATCAAGAATAGTGGCCTGTAATTTTCTTTTCTTGTGATGTCCTGGTCTGACTCTGGGATCAGGGTAATGGTGGCCTTGCAAAAAGAGTTTGGAAGTATTCTCTCCTCTTTAATTTTTGGGAAGAGTTAGAGAAGGATTAGTAGAAGGATTAGAGAAGGATTAGTTCTTCATTAAATGTTTGGTTGAATTCAGCAGTGAAGTTGTCAGGTCCTGGGCAACTTTTTATGAAATTTTTTTTATTTCTGATTTAACCTCTTTATAGTCATTACTGGTCTGTTTAGATTTTCTACTTTTTCATGATTCAGTGTTGGTAGGTTCTGTTATCTAAGAATTCATCCATTTCTTCCAGGTTATTCAATTTATTGGCATATATTTATTCATAATAGTCCCTTATGTTACTTTGTATTTCTGTGTTAGCAGTTGTACGGTCTCCTCTTTCATTTCTGATTTTTAATTATTTGAGTCTTCCCTCTCTTTTTCTTAGTCTAGATAAGGGTTTGTAGATTTTGTTTATCTTTTTAAAAAACCAATTCTTAGTTTCATTGATCTTTTGTACTGTTTTTCTAGTCTGTACTTAATTTTTCTTCTGCTCTGAGCTTTATTATTTCCTTCCTTCTGCTAATTTTGGGCTTAGTTTGTTATTCTTTTCCTAGTTCCTTGAGGAGAAATCTTGTTACTTATTTGAAATATGTCTTCTTTTTTGATATGGGCATTTATTGCTGTAAAATTTCCTTAGAAGTGCCTTTCCTCTACACCATAAGCTTTGGTATGTTGTGTTTCAATTTTCATTTGTCTCAAGATATTTTTAAATATTTCTTTTAATTTCTTCAATATGCATTGGTTGTTCAGGAGCATGTTAATTGCCATGTAGTTGTGAATTTCCTAAAATTCCTCTTGTTCTTGATTTCTAGGGTTCATACTAACGTGGTCAAAAAAATACTTGATATGATTTCAATATTCTTAAATTTGCTAAGGCTTGTTTTGTGCTCCAACAGGTGATCTATCCTGGAGAATGTTCCATGTGTGCTTGAGAAGAATGTGTATTGTGTTCCTGTTGGACTGAATGTTCTGTGTATTTCTCTTAGCTCCATTTGGGCTAAAGTGTTGTTCATGTCCAATATTTTATTAATTTTCTGTCTGTATAATCTGTCCATTGTTTAAAGTGGGGGTATTCTCCAACCCCACTGGAAACAAAAAAAAATAAAGTGGTATATTGACGTCCCCTGCTATTATTATGTTGCAATTTATCTCTCCACTGATCCTTTAATATCTGTTTTATATATTTAGGTATTCTGATGTTGCATGCATATATATTTGTAATTGTTATAACCTCTTGATAAATGGATCTCTTTACCATTATATAATGTCCTCTTTGTCTTTTTTTTTACAGTTTTTGACTTAAAGTCTATATTGTCTAAAACAATATTTACAACTGTTACATTCTCTTGATAAACCCTCTCCTCTATCATTATTATAATTTCCTATTTTTTACAGCTTTTGAATTAAATTGTCTAAGAATAGCTACCCCCGCTATCTTTTGGTATCCATTTACGTGGAATATCTTTTTCTATCCTTTCACTTTCAGTCTATGTGTCCTTAAAAGTAAAGTTAGTCTCTTGTAGATAGCATATAGTTGGGTCTTGGTTTTTTTTTCATTCAGCCACTCTATGTCCTCTTTAAAGATTATTTAATCCATTTAAATTCATGGTAATTATTGATAGTAAAGACTACTGCCATTTTGCTAATTGTTTTCTGGTGGTTTTGTTGATACTTTGTGGTATCTCTTGCTATCTTCCTTTTTAGTTTGATGGCATCAGATTTTCATCAGTAATGTCCTTGGCAAATTTGTCAATGAATTTCTCTGCTGCTTTGTGATCAGATGTTTTATCACCACAAATCTTTAAAAATTTAATACCATTCTTTTTCTGTTTCTGCAACCAGCCTGTTGAATATTTGCAGTTTTTCAATTTTCAGTTCATTGTGCTAGATCTTTGCTTGTTTCATGACCAGTACACTATTACATGTCATATATTCACTTCAACACTGATGGATCTACTCTTTCAATACATGATTGAGGTCTTCATTTTTAGCTTTATGTAGTATTCTATTTTTCATCACTTTAAGCACGGAATTTCAATGGCTTATCCTTCTGTGACACAGGTCATATATGGTAGTCATTCTAGCACCATACTCTTTTGCAAGACATTTCACACTTACACTGCTGTCCAGTTTCTCCAATAGCATGACTTTCTGAGCTACAGATAAACATAAACGCTTCTTCTTTTTCTTATCATTGTTCCCAATGGGGCATCTGCAGACCATTTAGACATTTTCAACAATATCTTTATACCACAGAGCAGAGAATAAGCAAAGCAATAGAAAACAAAAACACGCAGTGATCAATGTATGTAAATCCTGGCCCCATGTGGGGCATTACAGTGACCTGCTGTTCATGCATCCAGCCTGCACACATGCCACTTTATTACACTTTGTAGGTGTGCTTGTGTAGGGGAATCTGGGTACGCACAGAAAAGATATATTGCAGCTGAATGGGCTGGGAGGGTCTTTTTCTCTTGAGGATGCTGAATAAACTGTGTGTTGTGTCCCTGCATTTTGAATGTGACTTGTCACATGAGGTCAGGTGTGTTATTTTATACTTGTGATGTCATGTCAGCACTCAAAAAGTTTTACACTTTGAATTTTCAGATTAGGGATGCACAATCTGTACTGATCTCAGGGACATTAAAAGCATAATAGAAAAACGTTATGAACAACTCCATGCCTGTAAATTTAATAACTTACATGAAAGAGATCAATTCTGTGAAAGACACAAACTACCAAAACTCATACAAGGAGAAATAAATAATTCGAATAAACATTTATGTATTAAACAGATTCAATAAAATAATCAATAACATTCCAAAAATGGAAGCACCAGGCCCACTGGTGAATTCTACTCAATATTTAAGAAAGAAATGATGTCAATTCTCTACGATCTCATCCAAAAAAATACAAGCAGAGGAAACGCCATCTAATTCAATTAATGAGGCTAGTATTACCCTAATACCAAAACCAAGTTAAGAGGCCGGGTGCAGTGGCTCACGCCTGTAATCCTAGCACTTTGGGAGGCCAAGGTGGGTGGATAACCTGAGATCAAAAGTTCAAGACCAGCCTGGCCAACATGGTGAAACCCTGTCTCTGTCAAAAATACAAAAATTACCTGGACGTGTGGTACACGCCTGTAATCTCGGCTACCCAGGAGGCTGAGGCAGGAGAATTGCTGGAACCTGGGAGGAGGAGGCTGCAGTGAGCTGAGATCACGCCACTGCACTCCAGCCTGGGTGACAGAGAAAGTCTCCGTCTCAAAAAAAAAAAAAAAAAAAAAAAGACATTACAAGAAAGTAAAACTTACAAACCAGTAAACATAGATACAAAAACCCTAAACAAAATATTAGCAAATTAAATCCAACAAAATATATAAGGAATTACACACTAAGACCAAGTGAGACTTATTCCAGGTATGCAAACCTGGTTTAACATTCAAAAATCAATTAATGTACTCCATCACAAAATAGTCTAAAGACTAAAAATCATTAATCATATAAAAAAGAATTAGAAGCATCTGACAAAATCCAATGCTCATTCATGATAAAAACCTCTCAGCAACCTAGAAATAGGGAGGAGCTATCTCAATTTTATACAGAACATCTATAAAAACCATATGGTTATCATACTTAATGGTAGGATATTAGATGCTTTACCCCTACGATCAAGAGAAAGGTAAGAAGTGCCCTCTCACTACTTCTATTCAACATCGCACTAGAAGTCCTAGCTAATGCAGTAAGACAAGAAAAGAAAGTGAAAGGTATAAAGATTGGGAAGGAAGAATTAAAACTGTCTTTTTCTGCAGATGACATGATTGGCTATGTAGAAAATCCCATGAAATTGAAAAAAAACATTCCAGACCATCCAATCAACCAACCAACCAAACAAACAAATAAAACAACTCCTGGAACTAGTAATAATTAGTGATTATAGTAAGATTGCAGGACATAAGATTATTTTAAGGTCAATTGCTTTCCTATATAGCAACAATGAACAATTTTAATTTGAGATTACATTAATGCCGAAAAGAGAAATACTTAGGTATACATCCAATAAAATATTTACAAGATCTATATGAGGAAACCTATACAACTCTGATGAAAGAAATCAAAGGTGTAAATAAACTGAGTCTTGGATAAGATAACTCAGTATTGTTAAGATGCCAGTTCTTACCAATTGATCTGTGCATGCAACACAATCCCAATAAAAATTCCAGCAAATTATTTTGTATTGACAAACTGATTTTTAAAGCTTATGTGGGGAGGCAAAAGACCCCAAATAGTCAACTCAGTATATAAGGAGAACAATATTGGAGGACTGACACCACCTAACTTCAAGACTTACTATACCGCTATGGTAATCAAGACAGCATTGTGTTGCAAAAGAATAGAAAAATCGATCAATGGAAGAGAAGAGAGCCCAGAAACAGATCCACACAAATACTGTCAACTGATCTTTGACAAAGTAGCATAAGCAACCAAATGGACAAAGAATAGTTTCTTTTTTTTTCAACAAATAGTGCTGGAACAATTGGATATCCACATGAAAAAATGAATCTAGACAAAGACCTTGCACTTTTCACAAAACGTAACTCAAGATGGACCACAGGACTATAACAGCAAAACAAAAAATTATACAACTTCTTAAAGAAAACAAGAGAAAATCTAGGTGACCTTGGGCTTGATGATCAGTTGTTAGATGTATCACCAAAAACATGATCTATGAAAGAAAAAAACAGGTAAGTTGGACATCATTAAAAGTAAAAATTTCTGTGCTACAAAAGGCACTGTTAAGAGAATGAAAAGACAATTCACAAAATAGGAGAACATCCTTGCAAAACACATACTAATAAAGGACTGGTATTCAAAATACACAAAGAACTCTTTAAAATCAACAATAAGAAAATAAATAACTTAATTTTAAAAATGAGTAAGCCTGTGATCCCAGCACTTTGGGAGGCAGAAGCGGGTGGACCACTTGAGGTCAGGAGTTCAAGACTAGCCTGGCCCACATGGTGAAACCCTGTCTCTACTAAAAATGCAAAAATTAGCCAGGCCTGATGGTGCATGCCTGTAGTCCCAGCTACTCAGGACGCTGAGGCAGGCGTATCGCTTGAACCCGGGAGGTGGAGACTGCAGTGAGCCGAGATCACGCCACTGCATTCCAGCCTGGGTGACACAGTGACTCTGTCTCAAAAAAAAATAAAAATAAAAATAAAAATAAATGAGTAAAGGATCTCAACAGACACTTAAGCAAAGAAAATATATAGATGGTTAAGTAAGCATATAAGAGGCTCAACATGTCATCAGAGAATTGTAAATTGAAACAACAATGATATACTACCACACTAATTATTAGAATGGCAAAAATCCAAAAACCTAAAAATACCAATTGTTGTACAACATCCTCATCCATCTCATTCATTGCTGGTGGGGATGCAAAATAGTATAACCACTTTGAAAGATAGTTTGACAGATTCTTTCAAAGCTAAATATAGCCTTACCATATGTATTAGTCTGTTCTTGCACTGCTAATAAAGATATACCTGAGACTGGGTAATTTATAAAGAACAAGAGGTTTAATAGACTCACAGTTACACATGGCTAGGGAGACCTCATAATCATGGCTGAAGGTGAATGAGGAGCAAAGGCATGTCTTACATGGTGGCAGACAAGAGACTATGTAGGGGAACTGCCCTTTATAAAACCATTAGATCTCATGAGACTTATTCACTATCACGAGAACACCATGGTAAAAATCCGCTCCCATGATTCAATTACCTCCCACCGGGTCCCTCCCCTCCCACGACACATGGGGATTACGGGAGCTACAATTCTGGATGAGATTTGGGTGGGGACACAGCCAAAGAATGTCACCATATGATCTAGCAATCATGCTCCAAGGTTTTTACCCAATAAAAACCTACGTCCATACAAAAACCTGCACAAGTATGTTTATACTAGTTTTATTCATAATTTCCCTAGATTGGAAACAACCAAGATGTCTTTCAATAGGTGAATATATAAACAAACTATAATGTGTCTGTACAATGGAATATTTTTTAATGATAAAAAAGAACTATCGAGCCATGAACATACATGGAGGAACTTAAAATGCATATTGCTTAGTGAAAGAAGACAGTCTCAAAAGGCTACATACTGTGTGATTCCAACAATATGACATTGTGGAATAAACTAAACTATAGAGACATTAAAAAGATCAGTAGTTGCTAGGGATTCAGAGGAAGGGAGACAAATAAAAAGTATGGGCATGCATAAAAAGCACATTTTAGTATGTGCTTTAGTATTTTAGTATTTTAGTATGGTGAAACTCTCTATGATACTGTAATAATGAATATGTGACATTTTGCATTTTTCAAAGCCATAGAACTGTACAATATAATGAGTGAACTTTAATGTAAACTATGGACTTTAGCTAATGATAATACATCAGTATGTTTTCAGTAGTTTTAACAAATGTGCCACATCAATACAAGACATTAATAAAAGGGGAAACTGTGTGCTGGGGAGGTTATGTGGGAACTCTGTGCTACTTCCTTAATTGTGCCGTGAGTCTAAACTGTTCTAATAAAGAAAGTCTATTAATTGAATTCCCTGCTCCACTCCTACTCCCATTCACACACACAGAGTAGGAGTGAAAACTGAATTTGGCTAACCAAATTCAGTAGGAGTGAAACTAGACAAGATACAAAGGAACAGTCAAACATGGCCAGCAATAGTATAGTGTCTGTGTTCATTTGCTTTGTGTTGCTATAAAATAATACCTGAGGCGGGGTCGTTTTAAAGAAAAAAAAAAGGTTTATTTGGCTCACAGTTCTTATGTCTGGACAAGTTCAAAATTGGGCTTCTGGTGAGGGCCTCAGGCTGCCTCTGCCCATGGTGGAGCTGGCTTGTACACAGATCACATGGTGAGAAAGGAAGCAGGAGAAAGAGGCGGGAGGTGTGGGATGCTTTTAACAACTATCTTTAATCGAGAAAGAACAAATAGAGTGGTAACTAATAGAGTGAGAACTCACTCATTACCATGAGAAAGGCACCAAGTCGATCACGCAGGATCTGCTCCCATAACCCCAACACCTCCCACTAGGCTCCACCTCCCAGCACCACCACACTGGTGATTAAATTTCAACATGAGGCTTGTAGGGGCCAAACAGCCAAGCTACAGCAGTGTCTAAATTGGACCTAATCAGACCTGAATTCAGTTATGCCTGTTACAATTTATAATAGGGATACATTGAAGCACCTCCATAGGCGGGCTTACTAGGTAGTGAGTGGTCTGTAAAACATATTGGGTTTTATGGAAAACTGCTGAGAAAACATACTGGGCAGGAAGTGAGAAGAAATTAAAGGTCTATGATAAATCTCTTCAAGTATTTGAAGAGGCAGTTTACAGAATTCTGTGTTGCTTCAGAGGGTAACATAATCCAGCTCAGAATAGGACTTATTAGAATTGTACAATAGGATGTTGATGCCTTACAAAAAAAAATAAGATGTTCTCACTATGTTGATGTATTCCTGCCTAGTATTGAAGGCTAGATAAAATTATCTTTACAAGATTTTTCAGTGAAGACACTTAGTTAAAAATAAGCTATCATATCATTTTTCATCCTAATTCTACTTAGATGGGGGTACTTAGTCAGAAAAGAATAGTGCCATCTGCATAAGGGTCAGTTCTAGCCAAAAGAATTTTTGAGGTGCTCTGCACACTCTCACTAGTTAGTTTCTCCATAATTGGAAATTATGCCCTATAACATCAACATGAATATATTTTTATACTAAAAATGTATAGGCTGGTACAAAAGTAATTTTACTTTTGCAAAAATTACTTTTGCACCAGCCTAATAATAGCAAATAATCAATTGTTCTTACATAGGGCCAATATTTTTCAATTTTATTAATGATCCCAACTCCCTTAGGAAAAGTAAATCAAGTCTTGTTAAATACATAGTTTTATTTTACATTATATACAGCTTAGGGACAAGCACTGATGCTGATTTCAGATATGAGGTCTAAATAAACTCATTTTATGAGACTACTACAAATGCACAGTGCTTGTACACAGCTGTTTCTAAATAGCTACTTGATTAATTGAATTGCTGAATATAGGGTTCAGCTGGTACATGCCTACTGTAAGCATATGCTTTGTTTTACTTGGAATTGGGTCACTGCATTGAGATACCTCAGGCCCTGCTTCCCTTCCTCCTATAAATGAGTGACTACTATGTGCTGGGCGCTTTGCTAGGGCTAGAGATGAGTACTGACTAAACACATGTTTCAAATTATTATAAATGCTACAAAGCAAAGGAGGTGACATTTGAGTTGAGATTTAAAGATAAAAGTAGGTATTAATTTGAAGGAGGGTGGATGAAAATTTTTCAGGTACAGGGAGGAACACGTACAAAGGCCTATGGTAAGAGAAAGGATGGCTGAAGAGCTAAATGAATCCCAGTTAGGCAGTGTTCAGAGAGCATTAAAAAAAAGTGGTTGGGATCAGATCACATAGAATCTTCCTGAAATATAGAATATTTTGGTCTTTATCATAGGGCAAATGAGAAACTACTAAAGGATTTTAAAGAAAGCATAAGAATATTTGCCTTTCAAAAAAATTGCTCTGGCTAGGGAGCAGTTTGTATAGCTACAAGTGTTCCCATTCTCTAATAAGACACCAGATCTCTAACTGTTAAGCCTCACCTCACCCTCCTCTGAGTAGGATAGCTTTGGAATTCTAAGAGAACATGGAGATATACTGAGGCTCAAATCCGGGAAATATAACAAAGTCCAGGAACTTACTTTTTTAGTTAATTGGACCAGACATACTACTTAGAAGATTTTGTTGTCGTTTTCTGTCAAGGATTTTGACTCACTAAATTATGAAAATATTCCTGTTTATTCTAAAAGATGGGATTTCTCTTGGACCTGGTTTGGGATCATCTCATTTAGAATCAAATTGTCTATGTTTGCTGTCTTTATCTTCTCAACTTCAATTCAAGGGTCTATAATCTTCTCTGTCCCCAAGTGTTCCAATGATGTTACTAAATACAAAAGACACTTAAAAATTTATTTGTATAGATTCAGTGAGTACATGTGCAGTTTTGCTACATGGATACATTGTGTAGTGGTGAATTCTGGGCTTTTAGTATACCCATTACCGAAACAGTGAACACTATAACCAATAGGTAAATTTTCAACCCTCACCCACCTCCCAACATCCCTCATTTTGGAGTTGCCAGTGTCTATTACTCTCTTTTGCATTAAAAGACACTTTACAAGTATCTTATTTGACCTGAGACCAATTCTTTCTAGAAATGCCTTTTTTCCCTGATTTCCATGACAATACACTTCTGGTTTCTGCTTACTTTCCTTGATGCTCTTCAGTCTTCTTTGGGGGCTTCTCGTCCTCTACTCAACCTTTAACTTGTGTCTTCTCATTCTACCTACTCTCTCCTGATTGCAACCCACGCTGACGGTGTATTAGTCTGTTATCACGTTACTATAAAGAACTACCTGAGACTGGGTAATTTGTAAGAAAAGGGGTTTAATTGGCTCACAGTTCTGCAGGCTGTGCAGGAAGCATGGCTGGGGAGGCCTCAGAAAACTTACAAGCATGACGAAAGGTGAAGGGAAAGCAGGCACATCTTCACATGGCAGAGCAGGAGAGAGAGAGGAAGAGGAGGTGATACATACTTTAAAACAAACAGGTGTCATGAGAACTCACTATTACGAGAACAGCAAGGGGGAAATCCGTCCCCATGATCCAATCACCTCCCGCCAGGCCCCTCCCGTAACACTGGGGATCACGATTCAACATGAGATTTGGGCGGGGACACAAATCCAAGCCATATCAGGTGGCTTCACTTGATCATCTATATAACTAATGACCTTTTACTCTGAGGTATTTCTCTCCAGCTCAGATTTCTATCCTAAGCAACAGATCCTCATAACCACCTCATAAACATCTCCACGTGACCATTCTTCAAATATCTTAATTCAATGTCTAAAATTGAACTCATGATCTCATTTCATACCCCTCTGCAAATTGGCTCTTTCTCTTCTTCCTCCTTTCCTTAGGCATCACCATCTACTCAGTTGTTCATGCAGAAACCTATACATCATCCTTAATATTTATCTCTCACCTCACAATCTAATTATGCTGTTTTACACATAAATCTCCTTTGCATCTTTCAATTTCTTTCCATCCCCATCTTAGTCCATTTTCTGTGGCTATAACAGAAAACTACAGACTGGGTAGTTTACAAATAATAGAAGTTCATTTAGCTCTGGAAGCTGGAAAGTCCAAGAGCATGGCACTGGCATCTGGTGAGGGTCATCCCATGGTGGAAGGTGGACACACAAGAGAGAGAAAATGGGGGCTGACCTTATCCTTTTTTTTAGGAGTGCACTGCTAAGATAATTAACCTTCTTCTATGATAATGGCATTAAGCAATTCATGAGGGCAGAGCCCTCATGGCTGGATCACCTATTAAAGGCCCACCTCTTAATATTGTTATAGTGGCAATAATTTCCAATCCATAAACTTCTGGGGGACACATTCAAACCATAGCAAGCCCCATTATCACCATCTTAATTTAGAGTGACCGCCATTATTCTTTCAAGTGAATTACCACATGATATGGTTTGCATCTGTGTCCCTGCCCAAATCTCATGTCAAATTGTAATCCCAGTGTTGCAAGTGGGGTCTGGTGGGAGGTGATTAGATAATGGGGGTGGTTTCTCATGAATGGTTTAGTACCACTCCTTGGTGCTGTTCTTGTGATAGTGAGTGAGTTCTCACCAGATCTGGTTGTTTAAAAGTATGTAGCACCCCCCTGCTCTCTCTCTCTCTTCCTCCTGCTCTAGCTATGTGACATATCTGCTCCCCCTTTGCCTTTGCCATGATTGGAAACTTCCTGTTGCCTCTCCAGAAGCAGATGCCACTATGCTTCCTACACAGCCTGCAGAACTGTGAGTCAATTAAACCTCCTTTTTTTATAAATTACCCAGTCTCAGGTATCTCTTTATAGCAATGCAAGAATGGACTAATAAACCACAATAGTCTTTTCAGTTGTTCTTTGCCTTGAGTGAGTTTTCTAAAGCACAAATATGAATATATCACTCCCTGGATTAAAACACTTTGATGGCTCCTCACTGTTCCTAGGATAAAGTCCAAATTTCTTAAACCTCATTTACAAAGCTTTTCTTGCCTCTCTTTATAGCTCATTTCTCATCATTCACCTATTTACCTCTACACTCCAGTCAGGATGAATAACCTTCAAGTCCCCTAGAACACTGACACTACCTCCCTTTACTTAACTAGCTCCTACATATCCTTTGGATCTCAGCTTGGATAGGAGAGTCTCCAAGAAATCTGACCTAGTGTCCAGCTTAGGTCATCCCCTCATGTTCTCCCATAGTACTCAGACCTTTCAACCGGATAAAGAGTAAACCCCATGAGAAACTGTCTTTTCACCATTTAATTTCTGTCTACTACCTAGAAAAGGGTTTAATATTTGTGAAATAGATAAATTAATAACTTGTTGCTTAAACCTGTTTCATGTTGTTCTTAATTTTTTATGTTTTAGTGGATGACAAGAATCTGTGATTTGCATATGCCCTGCAGAAGATAAGGTATGGATATTTAGGACTAGTCTATCGTTAACCAATGTGGATTACAGACTAATTACTTTCTGGACACTAAGAATAATTTAAAAATACCCCAAGATTTCAAAAGGAAATGAAAGAAAGAAAAGTAAGCAAAACTAACTTCATGAATTAATGTATCCTGGAAGGGGATGTTACATTGACTCTCATTACTATAATATCATTGTGGATTTCAGTGGTTTTCCTGGAATGCTGAAAAGAAGTGCTACTGGAAGCCCCCTGGCAGTTAAGTAAACATTTACTTGTGGTGAAATAATTCCTGAAAGCGGCATTTATTCAATAAACATTTATTGAGCAACTACACACACACAATTGCACACACACACACACACACGTATATGTAAACATATGTTTATATACTATATTGTCACATAGAAAATGCTTGGGGATACAACAGTAAACAAAGCCGATCAAAATCTCTGATCTCTCTTTTTTTTTTTTTTTTTGAGATGGAGACTCACTCTGTCACCCAGGCTGGAGCGCAGTGGCATGATCTCGGCTCACTACAACCTCTGCCTGCCGGGTTGAAGTGATTCTCCTGCCTCAGCCTCCTGAGTAGCTGGGATTACAGGCGCACACCACCACACCTGGCTAATTTTTGTATTTTTAGTAGAGACGGCTTTTCACCATGTTGGCCAGGCTGGTCTTCAACTCCTGACCTCAGGTGATCCGCCACCTCAGCCTCCCAAAGTGCTGGGATTATAGGCATGAGCCACCGCACCCGGCCAAAAATCTCTAACCTTATAGAGGTTTTACTCACCATTTTATCTTTAGCACCTCAAAGACTGCTTAATATTTGTGAATTAGTTAATTAATGTTTCTTAAGACCTGCTCACAATCTGTATTTCCTTAAGTCTTGATGGCCTTCCATTCTAGATGTGCTATTGCATAGCAGATCCCATAGATAAGGAAGAAAGGCTGTGATTCTCCCGAAGGTAACTTCTACTTCCGTTTACATTTCCTATATTAAAATCACTTCACCACAACTTATTATAATTGCCACAATGTTAGCCTGTGAAATTTGAAGGTTTCTTTATAGAGAATAGACAGGGAGTTATAAAAAATGATATTTATCATAATTTTGTTGATGATTTTGCCTACAGTAATTATAGAGAAGTGTTAATCATTTACACCAAGATGATCCCTAATTTAAGCAAATTATGCAAGTGCTGTATGCACTTTATTTAAAAGAAAACCAAGTTGTTATTTATTTCATTATATTTTTCAGCAGTTTTTCTGTACAATATGTGAAAATTGAACAGTTGAACAAAGTCAACTCAAGGTACTATCAGATTGCTTTATCTACAGGTTTTAGGGTTATAAAGATAAAATTAAGGTTATTGTTTCTTTGAGAGCTAAAGCACTTAGTAAAACATTCATTGAGGTTTCTTCTTTGCAGTCTGATAATGTTAAACATGCTTTATATCACATTTATAAGCAACAGAATTATTTCAAAAAATGTAGCTAATGATAAGGATGAATGTCATTTACTTTTGTTTTGATCACCAGGAAATATTGTTTACTTTACTTTAAAATTTATGTGAGCCATTTGATTATATGCCTTTTTTAATTAGCTTGAAGGAAGCAATCACTGGGGAGAAAGCGGAAATCAATTCTGATCTGATATTGATAGCTACTGTGCTGTAAACTATGTGTCCTTTCTAATTAAATGTAAACATGT
This sequence comes from Homo sapiens, assembly GCF_000001405.40. Taxonomy (NCBI): domain Eukaryota; kingdom Metazoa; phylum Chordata; class Mammalia; order Primates; family Hominidae; genus Homo; species Homo sapiens. Next base: position 37,466,818 of record NC_000014.9, on the reverse strand, counting down.
TCAGTTCTAAAGTCCAGCAGCAATGACAACAGTTGCTAGGAAAGATTGCCTAAGTACTGCTCAACTGATTTGCCTGGCCTTTATTTCTTTCAAAGTTGTGCTTGTGCAATCATTGGTGGGGTGAATGCTGGTTGTAACTGACTTTTTTTCAGGTCATCTTCAGCGAAAAGATTTGACAAGAATGTAGAGTGCTCTACATGTAATACCTGAAGTTACTTATTAACTATGTCCTCCTGATAGCTAATCAATGGCATTGCATAGAGTGAAATTTGGTGCACTAAACTGCCCCCCTGTCCAAAGCCAAGTCTTGGTAAATATTTAATGGCTGTAAAGGTGTTTTGCTAGTTATCAAACTGATATGTTAAAGGATTCTTAAAAGCAACTTTATCTTGCCTTCCATTCCATAAATAATTTGCTCAGCAATATACTGTGTAGGTGTAAAAGCATTTGGATTATTTCATTTTATTATCTTCCTCAGAAAAAGAACAAATCAGAATTAATATAAAATCATGTTCACTTTAATCAAGTACTTTGTCACTTAAACATAAGAGGGAAAAATAACAACCACCAAACTTCTCTTTTGGTAAAATGCCAACTTAAAAAGAATAAAACAACCCAACCCCTTTCACTTTACTAAACACTACACTAGACTGGTTCAAAACCTGTTGTACAGCTGCTGTCATAAGGAAATGTTATAAAATTTCTGTTGCAAGACACTCTGGAAAAATCAGAAGACATTTGGATTTTTGCTTTTTATTCAACATAGTACAGGTTGGGCTTTGCCTATTGACTTTTTAAATTATCTGTTGAGCCCCTTGTTTTATCTAATTTAACTCCTAGCTAAGCAAAAAAACTAGCAGTTTTATTCTTTAAATAAATAAAACAAATATCCTAAGATTTAAGTTTTATTAGAATACTTGATAATTGCTTAGGTCCTGTCTAGAAATGAGTCTAATTTCTTTAAATTTACACTAATTTAATGCTTACAGATTGGGAAGGGAGTTAGTAGTACTTTTTATTATTATTCTGGCAGGAGAAATAGTTTAAATGTATTTCAATCTAAAATTTAAGACACTTACTAAAGATTGACTGACTTACGAGGTGGGAATTTTAATAGCCTAATTGTAGAAAGTCACAAATTACATTCCTAAGTATGAAATAAGTTCTGGTGACTGAAAATACTACATTGAATTAATGACTCTACAAGATGCATCCAATATCAAAAGGGTTAAAATTGAAAAAATAAAGAAAAAATTATTAGAATAAAATCATTAAAGTTCAGTTTTCAGAATGAACAAATATTACAAATTTGCCAGATTTGAGGTGATAATGGTGCATTTCTCAACACTAGGAAGACCTGCTTATTTTACCTTGTGTTGGTCTGAAAGGAATATTTATATATGTTTTTGCCTGCATAGCTGGTGTATGGAAGAGAAATAGTTTCCTACTATTAGTGACATATTAAGTTAGTTTTTAAGATGCTGTTGATGGTCTAAGTGTAATGTAATTGTTCCTAAAATCCTGTCTAAAGATTATTTCAGTATTGTATCACTTTGAAAGAGTAAGGCACCATGTTCCACCATGTTCCAACTTCAAGGAGTTTCATTTTGTACATTGCTGACCACAGTATATCAAAGTTCGGAAAGGCAGCATGGAATATTCATGTTTTTAAATTAGTATTTCTGGTTTATGCCTCCTGAAGACATGTCTATATTGATTTTGATCTCTGAAATGTTTATTATAAAGTTATTTTCCTACTTCTCAAATTTTGGCCAGAGATCAACGTCAGATCAGAACAAGGGAGAGGCCAGCAGATACATGTCTGGGGCTTCAATCTAAAATGATAACAAAACTTCACTGAAATAAGTTGAAAATATGATGCTAGTTAACTCAGGCTGCACAGGTAACCAATTACTCATGGAAATAAAAAAACAAAAATTTGTTACACTGATGCTAAAATAGGCACTTTAACAGGAAATTAAAATTTTTTTCTGGCACTGAAACACAATTGCTTATATGTGAAAAGATAAGTTGCATTAACTAACCTTTACCAGCCAGCTTTTTAAAAATTCATTTTTATTTTTATGGATTCAGAGGATACATGGGTAGTTCTGTTACATGGATACATTGCATAGTGGTGAAGTCTGGGCTTTTAGTACAGCCACCACCCAAATAGTGAACATTGTACCCAACAGGCAATTTTTCAACCCTCACCTCCTTCTTCCTCCTACCCCACTTTGGAATCCCCAGTGTCTATTATTCTCCTCTGTATTTCCACGTGTATCCATTGTTTAGCTCCCACTTATAAGTTATGAGAACACAGAGTAATTGATTTTCTGTTTCTGAGTTATTTCTCTTAGGATAATGACCTCGAGATCCATCTATGTTGCTCCAAATGACATATTTTCATTCTTTTTCATGGCTGTGTACTATTCCATAGTGTATATATACCACATTTTCTTTATCCAGTCATCCACTGGATGAACACTTAGGTTCAGTCCACGGCTCTACTAGTGTTGAGATAAATGCACAAGTGCAGGTGTCTTTTTCTTTGGGTAGATTATCCAGTAGTGGAATTGCTGTGCTGAATGGTAGTTCCATTTTTATTTCTTTGAGAAATCTCCATACTGTTTTCCATAGAGGTTGTACTAATTTACATTCCCACGAAAAGTGTATAGTGGTTCCTTTCCTCCACATCTTTGCTACCATCTTTGTTTTCTGACATTTTATAATAGCAATTCTGACTGGTGTGAGATGGTATCTTATAGTGGTTTTAATTTGCGTTCTTCTTCTGTTTAGTGATTTGAGTATTGTTTTCATATGTTTGTTGGCCACATGTATGTCATCCTTTGGGAAATATCTGTTTATGTCCTTTTCCCAATTTTTAATTGGGTTGTTTTTGTTGTTGTTGAGCTATTTGAGTTTCTTGTAGATTCTTGGTGTTAGTCCTTTGTTCAATGCATAGTTTACAGCAAATATCTCCTCTCTTCTGTAGGTTGTCAGTTTAATGTGTTGATTATTCCTTTTGCTGTCAAGAAGCTTTTTAGTTTAATTGAGTCCCATTTGTTTATTTTTGTTTTTGTCACATTTGCTTTTGAGGTCTTAGTTATAAAATCTTTGCTTAGGCTGATGTCCGGAAGAGTTTTTCTGAGTTTTACTGTAGGATTTTCATAGTTTCAGATCTTATGTTTAAATCTTTAATCCATCTTGAGTTAATTCCTGTATATGGTGAGAGAGAGGGGTCCAGTTTAACTATTCTGCATATGGCTATCCAATTTTTCCAACACCATGTATTGAATAGTGTGTCCTTTCTCCACTGTATATTTTTATCAACTCCGTCAAAGATCAGTTGGTTGTAGGCATGCAGCTTTATTTTTGGGTTCTTTGTTCTGTTCCATTGATCTATATGTCTATTTTTCTATCTGTACTGATATAATTTGGCTCTGTGTCCCCACCCAAATCTCATCCTGTAGCCCACATAATTCCCATGTGTTGTGGGAGGGACCCGGTTGGACATGATTAAGTTACGGGGGTGGGTCTTTCCTGTGCTGTTCTTCTGACAGTGAGTGAGTGGGTCTCATGAGATCTGATGGTTTTAAAAATGGGAGTTTGCTTACACAAGCTCTCTCTTAGCCTGCTGACATCCACATAAGATGTGACTTGCTCCTCCTTGCCTTCTGCCATGATTGTGAGGCCTCCCCAGACATGTGAAACGCTAAGTGCAATAAACCTACTTCTTTTGTAAATTGCCCAGTCTCAGGTATGTCTTTATCAGCAGCATGAAAACAGACTAATACAGTAATTTGGTACCAGTAGAATGGGGCATTGCTGAAAAGATACCCGAAAATGTGGAAGTGACTTTGGAATAAGGTAACAGGCAGGGGATGGAACAGTTTGGAGGGCTCAGAAGAAGACAGGAAAATATGGGAAAGTTTGGAACTTCCTAGAGACTTGTTAAAGGGCTTGGACAAAAATGCTGATAGTGGTATGAACAATAAGGTACAGGCTGAGGTGGTCTCAAATGGAGAAGAGAAACTTGTTGGGAACTGGAGAAAAGGTCACTCCTGTTATGTTTTAATAAAGCGACTGGCAGCATTTTGTCCCTGCCCTAGAGATTTGTAGAACTTTGAACTTGAGAGACATGATTTAGGGTATCTGGTGGAAGAAATTTCTAAGCAGCAAAGCATTCCAGAGGTGACTTGGGTGCTGTTAAAGGCATTCAGTTTCAGAAAGGAAACAGAGCATAAAAGTTTAGAAAATTTGCAGCCTGACAGTTCAATAGAAAAGAAAATCCCATTTTCTGAGAAGAAATTGAAGCCAGTTGCAGAAATTTGCATAAGTAGCTTGGAACCAAATGTTAATCCCCAAGACAATGGAGAAATGTCTCCAGGACATGTCAGAGGTCTTCACAGCAGCCCCTCCCATCACAGGCCCACAGGCCTAGGAGGAAAAAGTGGTTTTGTGGGCCAGCCCCAGGGTCCCCGTGCTGTGTGCAGCCTAGGGACTTGGTGCCCTGCATCCCAGCCACTCCAGCTGTGGCTGAAAGGGGCCAATGTAGAGCTCAGGCCATGGCTTCAGAGGGTGCAAGCCTCAAGCCTTGGCAGCTTCCACGTGGTGTTAAGCCTGTGAGTGCACAGAAGTCAAGAATTGAGGTTTGGGAACCTCTGCCTAGATTTCAGAAGATGTATGGAAATGCCTGGATGCCCAGGCAGAAGTCTGCTGTAGGGATGGGGTCCTCATGGAGAACCTCTGCTAGGGCAGTGCAGAAGGGAAATGTGGGGTGGGAGCCCCTACACAGAGTCTCTACTAGGGCACCATCTAGTGGAGCTGTGAGAAGAGGGCCACTGTCTTCCAGACCCCAGAATGGTAGATCTACTGACAGCTTGCACTGTGTGCCTAGAAAAGTTGCAGACACTCAACACCAGCCCATGAAGGCAGTTGGGAGGGAAGCTGTACCCTGCAAAGTCACAGGGTGGAGCTGCCTGAGACTCTGGGAACCTACCTCTTGCATCAGCATGACCTGGATGTGAAACATGGAGTCAAAGGAGATCATTTTGGAGCTTTAAGATGTGACTGCCTCACTGGATTTTGGACTTGCATGGGTCCTATAGCCCCTTTGTTTTGGCCAATTTCTCCCATTTGAAATGGCTGTATTTACCCAATGCCTGAACCCCCATTGTATCTAGGAAGTAACTAACCTGCTTTTGATTTTACCAGCTCATAAGCAGACTGTTTGGGGGACTGTTCTGAAGGCATGATTGGTTTTGAAATGTGAAGATATGAGATTTGGGAGGGGGCCAGGGGCAGAATGATATAGTTTGGCTCTGTGTCCCTACCAAAATCTCATCCTGTACCTCACGTAATTCCCATGGGTTGTAGGAGGGACCTGGTGGGAGATGACTGAATTATAGGGGAGGGTCTTTCCTGTGCTGTTCTTATGATAGTGAATGGGTCTCATGTGATCTGATGGTTTTAAAAATGAGAGTTCCCTTGCACAAGCTCTCTCTTTGCCCACTGACATCCACATAAGATTTGACTTGCTCCTCCTTGCCTTCTGCCATGATTGTGAGGCCTCCCCAGCCATGTGGAACTGTAAGTCCAAAAACCTCTTTCTTTTGTAAATTGCCCAGTCTCAGGTATGTCTTTATCAGCAGTGTGAAAACAGACTAATACAAGTACCATACTGTTTTGTTTACTATAGCCTTGTAGTATAATTTGAAGTCAGGTAATGTGATGCCTCCACCAGCTTTGTCCTTTTTGCTTAAAATTGCTTTGGTTATCCAGGCTCTTTTTTGGTTGCAAGTGAATTTTAGGAGTATTTTTTTCTAATTCTGTGAAATATGATGCTGGTAATTTGATAGGAATTATGTTGAATCTGTATATTCCTTTGGGGAATATGATCATTTTAATGATATTGATTTCTTTGATCCATGAACATGGCATGTTTTTCCATTTGCGTCACCTAGAATTTCTTTCTTCAGTGTTTTGTAGTTCTCCTTGTAGAGGTCTTTCACCTTCTTGGTTAAGCATATTCCTAGGATTTTATTTCTTGTGTGGCTATTGTAAATGGGACTGAGTTCTTGATTTGGTTCTCAGCTTGAATGTTATTGGTATATGGAAATGCTACTGATTTTATACATTGTCTTTGTATCCCGAAACTTTACTGAAGTCATTTATCAAATCTAGGAGTCTTTGGGAGGTGCCATCAGGGTTTTCTAGGTGTAAGATCATGTCATCAGTGAACAGGGATAATTTAATTTCCTCTTTTCCAATTTGGATGCCTTCTATTTCTTTCTCTTGCCTGATTGCTTTGGCTAGAATTTCCAGTATTATGTTTAATGGGAGGGGTGAAAGTGGGTGTCTTGTTCTGGTTCTTAGGGGAAATGCTTTCAACTTTTTCCCATTCAGTAAGATATTGGCTGTGGGTCTGTTGTATATGGCTCTTATTATTTTGAGGTATGCTCCTTCAAGGCCTAGTTTGTTGAAGGTTTTTATCATGAAGAGATGTTGGATTTCATCAAATGCTTTTTCTTCACCTATTGAGATGATCATAAGGTTTTTGTCTTTAATTCTGTTTATGTAGTGAATTACATTTGTTGATTTGCATATGTTGAACCATCTTTGCCTCCCTGGAATGAAACCCATTTGATTGTGGTGTATTAACTTCTTGATGTGCTATTGGATTTGCTTTGCTAGAATTTTATTATTATTATTATTATTATTATTATTTTACTATTATTTTGAGATGGAGTCTTGCTGTCATCCAGGCTGGAGTGCAGTGGCACAATCTCAGCTCACTGAAACCTCTGCCTCCCAGGTTCAAGCAATTCTCTTGCCTCAGCCTCCTGAGTAGCTGCGGTTACAGGCACCTGCCAGCCACCATGCCCGGCTAATTTTTGTATTTTTAGTAGAGACAGGGTTTCACCATGTCGGCCAGGCTGGTCTCAAACTCCTGACCTCAACTTATCTGCCCACCCCGGCCTCCTAAAGTGCTGGGATTATAGGCATGAGCCACCACGCCCACCCAGCCTGTTTGCTAAAATTTTGTAGCAGATTTTTACATCTATGCTTTTTAGGGATGTTGGCCTGTAGTTTTCTTTGTGTGTATGTGTCCTTCCCTGGCTTTGCTATTAGGGTGATGATGGTTTCATAGAACGGGTTAGGGAGAAATCCCTCCTCTTCAATTTTTTAGAACAGTTTCAAGAAGATTGGTACCAGCTCTTCTTTGTACATGTACTAAAATTTGTCTGTGAATCCTTCTGGTACTAGGCTTTTTGTTGTTGTTGGAAAAATTTTCATTACTGTTTCAATTTTATTACTCATTACAGGTCTGATCAGGGTTTCTATTTCTTCGTGGTTCAATCTGGGGAGGTTGTATGTTTCCAGGAATATATCCATTTCCTCTAGGTTTTCTAGTTTGTGTGCACAGAGGCACTCAGTATTTCTGATGATCTTTTGTACTTTTTTGATATCAGTTGTATTGTCACCATTATCATTTCTGATTTTACTTATGTGAATCTTCTCTCTTTTGTTATTGGTTATTCTAGCTAGTCGTTTATCAATTTTGTTTTTCTTTTCAAATAACCAACTCTTCATTTTGTTGATTCTTTGATTCATTTTTTTCATCTCAGTGTCATTTAGTTCTGCTCTGAGCTTTGTTATTTCTTTTCTTCTGCTAGCTTTGGATTTAGTTTCTTCTTGTTTTTCTAGTTCCTAGGGGTGAGGTGTGGCATTAGGTTGTTAATTCAAGACCTTTTTATCTTTTTGATGTAGACATTCAATGCTATAAACTTTCCTCTTAGCACTGCTTTTGCTGTATCCCAGATTTGGTATGTTGTGTCTCTATTTTCATTTGTTTCAATAACTTTTAAGTTTCTCCCTGAATTTTGTCATTTATCCAAGGATCATTCAGAAACAAACTGTTTATTTTCTATTTATTTATTTATTTATTTATTTATTTATTTATTTATTGACAGTCTCTCTCTGTTGCCCAGGCTGGAGTGCAGCGGCACAATCTCGGCTCACTGCAACCTCTGTCTCCCAGGGTTCAAGTGATTCTCCTGCCTCAGCGTCCTAAGTAGCTGGGACTACAGGCATGTGCCACTATGCCCAGCTAAGTGTGTGTGTGTCTGTGTGTATGTGTGTGTGTGTATTTTTTTTTTAGTAGAGACGGGGTTTCCCCATGTTTGCCAGGCTGGTCTCAAACTCCTGACTTCAAGTGATCCTCTCACTTTAGCCTCCTGGCATTACAGGCATGAGCCACTGTGACTGGCTTCAGTGTATTTACATAGTTTTGATAGTTCCTCTTGGTATTGATTTCTAGTTTTATTCCACTGTGGTCCAAGAAGAAAATACTTGGTATGATGTCCATTCTGTTGAATTTATTAAGACTTGTTTTATGGCCCAACATATTATCTATTGTGTAAAATGATCCATGTACAAATGAGAAAAATGTATATTCTGCCATTGTTGGATAGAATGTTCTGAGAATGTCTATTAGTTTCATTTGGTCTAGAGCTTAGCTTAAGCCCAGAATTTCTTTGTTGATTTTCTGCCTCAGTGATCTATCTAATGCTGGCATTGGGATGTTGAAGTCTTCCACTATTATTGTATTGCTGTTTATCTCTTTTTGTAGGTCTAGGAGTATTTGTTTTACAACTCTGGGTGCATATATATTTAGGATAGTTACATCTTTTTGTTGAGTTGAACTCTTTATTATTATATAATGACTTTATCTTTTTTTTTTACTGTTTTTGATTAATGTCTGTTTTATCTGATATAAGTATAGCTACTCTTGCTCATTTTTGTTTTCCATCTGTATGGTATATCTTTTTCAACCCATGTCTGAGTGTATGAGTGTCTACCCATGAAAAACATGGGGTTTTCAACCCATGTTTAAGTGTATGAGTGTCTATCCATGAGGTGGGTTTCTTGCAGGCAGCAAATGCTTCAGCCAGGTAACTTGTGAACCCAAATAATTTGTGGTGTGATACTACAGGTGATTTAGTTATATGTTTCCTCAGAAATTGTCTGATTTGGGTAATTACAAAAGACAAGAACAAGGACATATAGGAATACATACAAGGAGCACTTAACCCAGATTAAGTCTTGAAAAAGGAGTAAGAGTTAAACAAGGAAAAATAAAGGGTGTTTCAGGTAGAAAAGGTCATGTGTATCAGCATGGTGGTATGAGAAAATCTTTGCTGAAAATATTTAGTTCATTATGGGATTACAAATATGGCTAGTGCTAAATAGAAACTTGCAGAGTAGAGCACAAGTACCAACTTGTAGAGTAAGGTGAGTGAGGGAGAGAAGATTATCCTGAGGAAAGGATAGTGTCCTCATCTCACTACTGCCAAGTGTTTTGTGAAACCAAGAAAATAATAACCCATTTTCTGATTGCTGGAAACCCAGTGTGTGGAAACTTTTGAGTCTGGTTGAAGCCATGTCTATTCTCATTTATTCAGAGCACCTACTTTGTGCCAGACTGTTCAAGGCACTAAGGAAAGAGCAATGAATGAGAAAGATCAAGAACCTACTTTTGTGGTACTTTCAGAATGAAGATTTTATCCAGATTTAGGAAACACCCACTTGTAGGTAAAGTCCCTTTCTGGAGAGCTCACCTACAGCCCTGGTCTAAGAGGCTCTTATCTCTCATGAATTTTCTACTGTATACTCTACACCAAAGTCCCCAGATGCCAATTCTTTATAACAAATGCTTTATTTCAAATTTTATCTTTTCATGACGAGTCTTTTTACATTATGTATAGCTCTAAAATAAATTATCAACAAAGTATATATTGCTGCAATATGTCCTTTTCAATAGTAAAGATATATCCAATTATTATGCAAATATTAAAAAGGATATTAGTTACAATTTTCAAGAACTAGTCAACTGTAAAAACAATTCCTTGAAGGTTGTCTGTAGAGTGAGTTTTCATATGTTCATACTTTATTCCAAAAGATTCTATATTTTTATAAGAAAATAAAATTACAATGAGCTTTTTTCATATTAAGAAAAGGTCTGAAATGTAAACACTAGATTTTGTAGTACTTCAATATCTCTGTCTACCTTCTGGTAATCACTGCCTATATGAAATTTACTTTTGGAAGTGACAAATACAACTACGAGATCTCTTTGAAACAAGTCAATAATAAACACACATAAGCCAATCTAACAAGCAAATTTAAATTAAATTAAATTTTAATTTAGCAGGGTAATGTTTATTGCCCTTATAATTCCATATTTACCTGGCTTGGGATTGAAATAGTGGATTACGGCAAGATAGCAATGATGCTGAGCTTACAAAGAATGTTAGGGTCTTTTCACTAATAAAAATTGTATTTCCTTTATCTGAAAAATTCATAGGTACAATATGCTTGTTTTTCATTTAATACGTGTCTATTATGGCTTTGTGTAGAACTTACCCATAATATAAGTATGAACAGGGTCCCAGGCTATAATTTGTTCTTCATCTGGGGAATATACTATGGACAGGTATCATTTAGCAACATTTATTTAGGTTGAGGAATATGTATCTGACTTGTTAACTATTCAAGAAAATATACATTATTTAAAAGATAGATTCAATTATGGAATATATGAAAGAAGACTAATTTGGATAGGCAAAGGACTGAAAACTGACCTATGTCTTATTTATTTTATTCCTGCAACGAGTATGATAACTTCACAAAAAAGTTACCAATATTAATATCACGTAGAAGAAACCTTCTTCTACGTGATATTGATAAGACCAAGGATTCTACAATAACGCTGTCAGCACATCCTATATTTTTGCAATTTATTGAAACACAATTGAATAACAGAATATAACAAATAATTAATTTAATGGGAAAATAACATATAAATATAATAAATCCCATTTGGTAAACATAGACTTACTAAATCTGAGCTATTAAGGAGATTATTGACATCACAATGAAACACATTTAAAAAATTAAAATCACGTAATTTTCACAGAACACCACCAAATTTCTGAAAGTGCATGAAGAAAAAAATTCATATCTATAATATAAACACATTAGTTGCCCTAGAGTTATAAACTCAGTAAGAGCATCCTTGCCTTAAGAAACTCAAAGTGCAACTTGAGAAGGCAGATAATAATCGAATTTGGGAGCAGAGAAGCAGCACACCTAATTTGACTGGTGAATGAGAGGGGAGAGTGGCAGTAAGTTATTTACAAGAGAACAGTTCCTGAAAAAAAGCATGAGGCAGCATGAGCAAAAGTATACTGGTGAGAAAAATAACAGTATACAGATAACTAAAGCAGTTTGGCCTCAAGTACACGACAAGAGCAAAAGATGAAGACAAAGAGGCAGTCATGGGTTAGATAATGAGAAGGCTTTAAAACTATAATATTATCCTGTGGAAATGGAAGACTATTATTGAATGGTTTTAAGGTAAATGGCAGTCAAGAAAGAGTGAGGAATGAATTTGAAGAGAACAAAATCAGGTGTAGAGAAATTATTTAGGGAGCTATTTCTGTAGTTTCAAGTGATATATAATGAAGATCTGAATAGGATATTAGTATTAACGATTAAAAGAGAAAACATATTCAACAAATATTTAAGAAGTAAAATTGATGCAATTTGTTGACTCATAGTAATTCAGAAGAAAGAGCAGTTTTAAAAAGGACATTGCTGCCTTCCATTTTATACATTCTGAATTGGGTTTACCATGAAATATCAACTGAAAATGTCCAGCAGATAGTTTTGATGTACAAACTGAAACTAAAGAGAGAGAGATGTGGCTTCTGCATTTGGGAGTCATCAGCATACAGGTTGGGGTTAAAAAATCCAGAGGAGTATGTAGAGGCAGTTCAAGGAAAAGACATATGATAATTATTATCACAAACAGTGAAAAAAATTCCTATAAGATGGTTACAATATATCACAGTAAGAATTTTTTATAATCGATATTGCCCTTTTTCTGGTATTCTAAATGAAATAATCAGAAACAATTATCAGCTACCTCCCATGTGCTCAGTACTGAGAGAAAAACGAGAGAAGTAAAATTTATTACCTAGTTAATACTTTGACAATACTTTATTTACCACATGGATTTATACATACATGCTTCTTTATGCTTCATATGATGAAAACTCTCATATCACAATAGGCACTTTATATATTTTCATTCTGTTTTTATAATAGGATACTTTTATTATCAACTGTCAGCAGCAGGATCATGAACCATGATTGAAAGTTGAAAACAATATGGGATTTGTAGTAAAAACTTGGGCTGTTTCATTCAATATCACTATGACTTTGGGGAAATTACTTAACTGAATTTTAGATTTCTCAATTGTAAGACAGATAATACTGCTTATTTCACACAGCTGTTATGAGCATCAGCTCAAATTATAAATATAAAAGGACTGCCAAAAATAAGGTCTATGTAAGTGTTAGCTAACACTATCACTACACCTTCTGTGGTAGACTGCCTAGGCAGTATGGGAAATTGAGGGTTAGAAGATCCACATCAAGACTGCCAATTAAGATTGGCCTCAGAGAAGACCAAACTCAGGGAGCACCCTGAGGCCTGTAATCCAGTTGGAGTAAGGAATCTGGAGCCATGAGCATAGCTCTGGTCAGAGGGCACACAGGTCATGAGCAGAGCTAGTATATAAAACACGACTCCATGAATCAGCAGATATTGACACTGGGGCAAATGTATGACATAGTGTGTCAATTCCTTATTTATTCCAGGTCATGGCTAACCAGATCCACTTTGCAGAGTCTCATAAATAGCTGTTGAAAAACTTCTGATTATAAAACAGCTTGATAGTATCCCTCTAAAAATGACCAGATTATTTAAATCGCACACATGGAAAAACTTCTGGAATTGTGGCCTAAATGACAACCATTCAAATCTTGAATTTGGGAGATGAAAAAAGAAAAGTGATGATACTGGACAGTGTGGTTTTCACTAATGAGTAACTGACTAAATAGCCTAGATAATTTCAATAAATAAAAGAATGCATCTGCAAAGAATATTGGTTTTGATTAGGATGCTTTGGTTCTAATTGCAAGCTTGTCACTAACAAACCATGTTACTTTGGCTAATTCTGTTTAACTTATTTTTTTAAGGTTTAATTCCAAATGTGTAGATAATATTAAAATGACACGAATTATTTTAGTGAGTACCTTTTTTGGGCACTTATAAACATGGTATTCAATGTGTACAATAATTTTGAAAGGTAGTTACCATTCCATTTAAAATGAAAAAATGGAGCTAAACAGGTCAAATAATTACTCAGAGTCAAGCAGGTAAAGGGTAAAGCCAAGATTCCAGCCATAATATACCTTCTTCCAAAGACTATATAACTTTTGTTTTTCAAAACATGATTTTCTCAAGACTTTTTCACCCTTAAAATTTTATAAGACAAATGTTTAATCAAATACAATGAGTATAAATATAAATTCCAGGTTCTATTAAGTACTGTATCAAAGGTTAGTTATGGGATCCTGAAAAAAACCACTAAGCGCCTCCCTGTTTCACTTTTAAAACCATTTAAATAAAGATAATTCATGCTACTAATTATCTCACAAGATGTAGGAAGTAAAAAGTGATTATGGCCTTGAAGACACAAAGAATATGGCTAACAATATAACGGCCTATCATATGCCTAAGAAATCTCTTGAGACTTCTTGAAGTTAAAAAAATCATACTTTTAAAGCTCTATGTATGACTTAATAATAAAGATTATCAGATGGGAATTGAAGGAAATTTCTTTCATTGGTAAATAAAATGCACATCCTAACATCATTCATTTTCCAATCCATTACTGCTGCTTCTTAATACCATTGCCTAAGGTTTCTAAAAGAAATTCCTTAGAAGGACATTTATCTAAAAATACCTAAGGAATAAAGCTTAAGGAAGAGAGAATGAACATCCTGCTACTTGACATTAATCCCATTAACTCTTGAGTACCTAACAGACGGCTCTGGCATTATTCCTAACTGGAAGACACTGAAGTTAAAGCACAAGGCTTTAAAGTTAATGGGAGCTGCAAAACTGAAAACACTATACGTCAACTTGATAATATGCCCCTAAGTTATTTTTCATGGATAGTGCCATTCTTCTGTTTAATCAAGAGTTAAAGCATGTGCAGTAATTCCTTATTTTCACAATATTCTTTCTGACAATAAAGATAACAACTATGAGAACAGTTTTCAGCTGGCTAAACCTGATGTACTGGTTTTGTTAATAAAAAATTCATGACAATTAATGAAATGGATCTATTAAGACAGTCCCCCAAAGTAGTACAGCTGCCCCACCTACAAATGAACTTCTCATGACCTATATTATTCAGAAAGAACTGTAGTAACTTGCATTAAAAATTGTTGCATACAAAAGGTTCAAACCAAATCAAAGCATTACTCAGAAGCTGGCAAGATACTTCAAGTGAAGAATGCTTGATATGGCTAACTTTAATCAAGTTTTCATTTGTTGTTCATACTCACAGAACTATTTCTATAATTGATGCTTTTCTGCTATATTAAATTTTAATAAATGCAACATTTAAAAATCATTTTAAGATATTAATAACACTTGGCTGAGTCCCAGATTTCACACTTTGTTATTAGGACTGCATTGAAAAGAGAGACTTTTTAGTAGCCATATCTCTTTCTTTTCATCTCAAATCTTTAATGGTCAAGTGCTAGGCAAAGAGAATAAACAGGCCGGGCGCGGTGGCTCACGCTTGTAATCCCAGCACTTTGGGAGGCCGAGGCGGGCGGATCACGAGGTCAGGAGATCGAGACCATCCTGGCTAACACGGTGAAACCCCGTCTCTACTAAAAATACAAAAAAATTAGCCGGGCGTGATGGCGGGCGCCTGTAGTCCCAGCTACTCGGGAGGCTGAGGCAGGAGAATGGCGTGAACCCGGGAGGCGGAGCTTGCAGTGAGCCGAGATTGCGCCACTGCACTTCCACCTGGGCCACAGAGCGAGACTCCGTCTCAAAAAAAAAAAAAAAAAAAAAAAAGAGAGAATAAACAAAAGAACCTTAAGGCTCACAATGATTTCTTTGATACATTTTGGCAAATACAATTCAGCAGAACATTTACTTTCTACAGGTTCCCCCTTAAAAATAATCCTTTAACTAACTCATGCTTTGATTTTTAAAATCAATTGGATGTCAATGCTTTTTCTATCATAAATGTATTTCTTCATTAAACAATCCTATGATTATGATGAGAGAGAATCAGCTCCATTTCCATGTACAAGAATCACCATCTACAAAGAAAAGCTCATTGTTTAAGAATAACAGACCCACCCGAAATGGCATGTGAATGTGTTGTCCATAATAAGAATATGAAACCTTTTGATGTACAATCTTTTCTAAACTAAAAAAGCCTTATCATATTTGAGACTTTCATTTAGAAATAAAAAGTTATTTTTAAAAATTCTCAAAAAAACACAAGTAGAAGAAACACTGGCTTCTGACATTAATAAGGCCATCTCAATAGCTGCCTTCATTCTCTTCCACAAATGTTAGTTGAGCACCTACATCAATGTGCAAGACAGTGGAGATAAGGTACAGAGATGAAGTAGGGGGTGATACACAGGTGAACAAGGAAGAAGATTAACTTGTACAAAGTAGCTAATATTGCCCTTGGGAAGAGGTGTCAATAACTCCATAGAAAATATCAATCTTGATGAATAAATGTGATATAGATCTTAAAAATAAATTTTTAGAATAATTTGAGTAGAGGAAACAAATAATATTCCTATTAAAAACTATAATATTATGACTGCATTAACTTTATAAATACAGTTGTAATACCACTTTATTAAATTTTTAAGTGAATACAGAATATTTTACGTTATCAGGGTACAAGGCTTCTTAAAAATATTTTTTTATTCATAGACAACTTATTTCTATGCTAGAAAATGAAATGCTACTTAAAAACAATGAGGAAGTGGACACGATTTTATATTTATACAAATAAATATTTCAAATACATTGATAAAAAAGACTTGAAATCAAGTTGAAGAAATTTCTAAGTCTATGTTTCAGAAATTTAAAGATGAAAGAATCTGTCCAGAAAGTATAACATCTGTCTATTAGGATACCAGAAAGAGAGACATCAAGGGGAAAAACGAAAGAGAAAACTATCAAATAATATTAAGGAAAATTTCTCAGAGATGAAAGCCAAAGATCTTCAAGTTGCAAGCATCTATAAGTGGAGATCACAGTAAATGAAGGAAGATCCATTCCTAGACACCTCCTTATGAGATTTCAGAATACAAAAATGAAAAAAAATTGAGATTAAAAAAATTATCTTCCATGAGAAAACGTCTACAAAGATTGATTCATTCTGAAATCAGTTACTAGAAGCAAGAAAAGAGAAAGAATAACATCTTAAAAGTTTTGAAAGGATGTAATGTTAAAATATGAATTCTATATTCAGAAAATTTCTGTTTGGAAATTACTTGAAGAGGAAATAAAGCAAGATAGAAGATACAGAATCTGAGACACAGCCAAACCAATGCAGAAGAGAAGACAAATCCTAGGATGAAAACTGTGCAGCAAACTGGAGAGCCACACACAGGTCTAGACAGCAACAGGGAGATGGACTGCCCTGGCGTAAAGGGAGACCTCATAAAACAGAAATTAAGAGTGACAGGATGGGAAGAGCTGAAATAATGATGCACAAGATCCAAAAAAAAAGAAAGGTGGCCAGGCACGGTGGCTCAGGCCTGTAATCCCAGCACTTTGGGAGACCAAGGCTGGCAGATCAGTTGATGTCAGGAGTTCGAGACCAGCCTGGCCAGTATGGCGAAACCCTGTCTCTACTAAAAATACAAAAATTAGCCAGGCGTGGTGGTGCACACCTGTAGTCTCAGCTACTCGAAAGGCTGAGGCAGGAGAATCACTTAAACCCAGGAGGCAAAGGTTGCAGTGAGCTGAGACAGTACCACTGCACTCCAGCCTGGGCAACAGAGTGACACTCTGTCTCAAAAAAATAAATTAAGTAAATAAATAAATAAATAAATAAATAAATGTAATCAGAAATTTAAGGCAGGATAAACAAAATCGGTACAAGAAAGTCATGGCTCAAGTAAGAAAGAAGCCCAAAATATGGTACAATTTTAAGTACTTGGTTAAGTATTTTAAAGATTCTTTTGTCTTGATCCAAAGAACATTCTATTTGGCACACGGTTGACAAATTCAATCAAAAGGATAGGAGCCATAATTTTAGAATACCACATGGTTAGCATGGTCAGCAATGTTGTTTCCTATTTTTCAAATCTTAACATCAACTTGTATAAAAGCAACGAATTATTTCATTACTAATTCCACTGAAGGACAGGTGAATGATAAAATTCAAATTCTTCATTCAGTTTGTTGAATACTTTTTAGAACTATTTGTGACAATATAAATACTTTACAGATTTATATGTTTTCTACAAGTCTACATTATGTCAATGTTTATACTCATAAATATAATTACTTATAATCTGAGTGTATGTAGGTTTTATTTAAGTACTTTGGCAATTATTTTGTGGACTGTCTCTGCCAAAGATTTCTTCCATTTTTTTTTAATGGTAATATCAACTGCAGAACTTATTAACAGGAAGGTTAAAAGAAAATGGAAAAAGCTATTGATTCTTAGAAATGACTTTGACACGGCAAAAATTTTAGCAACCTGTCTGATCAAGTACCCATGTATGGAATGTAAAAAATACTTCTCAAGTGACGGAAGAATGTGATCTTGCTGCCATTCCCTTCTTTGTTGGCATAAACCAGAAATTATTTTAAGGTAGTTCTTGAGAAGATACAGAGTCAAAAATGAGTTAGAAATGTTTGAAGAGTTGTGTAAAAATAAATACCTGAAGAACTTAAACTTGAAGACATAAAAGAAAGTGTCTGTCATGGAATTTGAACACATTATACGTTCATTAGAAAATATTGATTAATGCAAAAACTATGAGTGACCTCCATACATATGAAAGAGTCCGCAGAGTACTGATTTCGAAATTTGAGATTCTGTTTTGTTTTTTAGTATAATTAACAGTATAAAGTAAGATTTTTAGTTCTCTAAGATCTTTAAAACTTTCTTTCCCCTTGCACTCTCTTGCTTAACCCCACCTCATTGATTTTAAAAGACAACAGCACAGCAAACGATGACATTAACTTCTTCGTAAAGATTTTTCAGACTTTATGCTATGGAATACAGTGAACTGTTAAGTCTTTGAAAACTGCCAGTTTTATTTTTTTGCTAGCTGTAATTATTTATTGGCAAATAAAACAATCCTTCAAGAAGAAAAAAGTCAATAAATATAGTTTGGCAAGCAAAAAGAATTTTGCTATGTATTAGAACCTATTTAAAACAACATCAATGAAAACAAACAGGATTTCCTGCTAGTGATACTGTGGGCACTTTATAAATAAACTACTACAAATACCAGTTTCAAACTAAGTAGCATGTACAGGACATGTTGATTCACGTTTCTTACTTCAGATTCTGTGCTGCCTTCTGCAATGATCTCTACACTCCTGCATTAGCCCACACTGGCTATGGCTGCTAGTGCTATAGTGCAGAGACTCCCTTTAAAGGAAGATTGGCAGGTATTGAAGGGTTATAAAGGACTATTAGCACCTAACTGGGGTTCTCTCACTAGTGCAGTGACTGAAGTAATAATTATGAAACAGTTTTGGAGAGAAATATTTTCGTTTTGGTTGATCAGACTTTATTTATTTTTGTCTTTAATTTAAGAGCATATCCAGTTTGCAGCCTTGTAATGAGAGGTACTCAAAAGTATGCACTCTTTCTGCTTGTTTTATAAAACCAGTCAAGAGTCCTGAACTTTGGCTCCAATCTTGCTCTTTTGTGTCAATGGCCAAGTCATTTGATCTCTTTAGTTCACCTACCAACATTCATAACTGCCTATCTACCCACACATTAAAAAGATAGGTACCAATATTCTCTAAGTTCTTTGAGCAAAATAAAAGTCACGTTACATCTATATTATTAAAAAAAACAGCTCACTGGAATTAAAGTATTTAAGATAAATGTAGAAGTTATGTTGACTCTAGCTGCCAGTGGGAGTAAAATGCAAATGAGCACCATCAACAAATAGCACTGAATTACCTCCAGTCACATATCATTGTTCTGCCTCTTGTTCCTCTACTTAAATTTAACATGTTCTTATTCTTACAGCTTATAATACATACAAATGCAATGATATAAAGAAATATCTGTGAAACTATAAAGCATTTCAGTGCCTGGTGAGTGCCTCAGGGAGCTATGATTGGAAAGCTACCCAGATTGACACAGTAAAATGAGGGAACTAGAACCAGTCTAATTTGGTTCTATCTTTTTGAAGATAAAACATAAAAGTTTGCCTCCTAAAAGTGTGATGGGCATCTTTCACTGAAATTAGATTCAGAAACTAGGAGAACTAGAGTGTAGTTGTTTATTATTATACAAACCATTACTTAGCACCTACTATCAGCCAGATAGTATATTAGGTGTAGAAATAAAAAGTAAAATAAGAAAAAGCAACAGTCATGGTAATTTTTGTGAAGGATGTGAGGTTAGGGTTAATGTTAATTTTTTACATATAATTATTTACATATCCACTTGTTTTATCACTACTTCTTGAATGGTGGCCTTTTCCCTATGAATTGCCATGTCTTCATTGTTGAAGATAAACTGACCATATATGTGCAGGATTCTCTTTTTTTATTATTTTATTTTATTTTATTATTATTATACTTTAAGTTTTAGGGTACATGTGCACAATGTGCAGGTTAGTTACATATGTATACATGTGCCATGCTGGTGTGCTGCACCCATTAACTCGTAATTTAGCATTAGGTATATCTCCTAATGCTATCCCTCCCCACTCCCCCCACCCCACAACAGTCCCCAGAGTGTGATGCTCCCCTTCCTGTGTCCATGTGTTCTCATTCTTCAATTCCCACCTATGAGTGAGAACATGCGGTGTTTGGTTTTTTGTCCTTGCAATAGTTTGCTGAGAATAATGATTTCCAATTTCATCCATGTCCCTACAAAGGACATGAACTCATCATTTTTTATGGCTGCATAGTATCCCATGGTGCATATGTGCCACATTTTCTTAATCCAGTCTATCATTGTTGGACATTTGGGTTGGTTCCAAGTCTTTGCTATTGTGAATAGTGCCGCTATAAACATACGTGTGCATGTGTCTTTATACTGGAATGATTTATAATCCTTTGGGTATATACCCAGTAATGGGATGGCTGGGTCAAATGGTATTTCTAGTTCTAGATCCCTGAGGAATCGCCACACTGACTTCCACAATGGTTGAACTAGTTTACAGTCCCATCAACAGTGTAAAAGTGTTCCTATTTCTCCACATCCTCTCCAGCACCTGTTGTTTCCTGACTTTTTAATGATCGCCATTCTAACTGGTGTGAGATGGTATCTCACTGTGGTTTTGATTTGCATTTCTCTGATGGCCAGTGATGGTGAGCATTTTTTCATGTGTTTTTTGGCTGCATAAATGTCTTCTTTTGAGAAGTGTCTGTTCATATCCTTCGCCCACTTGTTGATGGGGTAGTTTGCTTTTTTCTTGAAAATTTGTTTGAGTTCATTGTAGATTCTGGATATCAGCCCTTTGTCAGATGAGTAGGTTGCAAAAATTTTCTCCCATTTTGTAGGTTGCCTGTTCACTCTGATGGTAGTGTCTTTTGCTGTGCAGAAGCTCTTTCATTTAATTAGATCCCATTTGTCAATTTTGGCTTTTGTTGCCATTGCTTTTGGTGTTTTAGACATGAAGTCCTTGCCCATGCCTATGTCCTGAATGGTAATGCCTAGGTTTTCTTCTAGGGTTTTTATGGTTTTAGGTCTAACGTTTAAGTCTTTAATCCATCTTGAATTAATTTCTGTATAAGGTGTAAGGAAGGGATCCAGTTTCAGCTTTCTACATATGGCTAGCCAGTTTTCCCAGCACCATTTATTAAACAGGGAATCCTTTCCCCATTGCTTGTTTTTCTCAGGTTTGTCAAAGATCAGACAGTTGTAGATATGCGGTGTTATTTCTGAGGGCTCTGTTCTGTTCCATTGATCTATATCTCTGTTTTGGTACCAGTACCATGCTGTTTTGGTTACTGTAGCCTTGTAGTATAGTTTGAAGTTAGGTAGTGTGATGCCTCCAGCTTTGTTCTTTTGGCTTAGGATTGACTTGGCGATGCGGGCTCTTTTTTGGTTCCATATGAACTTTAAAGTAGTTTTTTCCAATTCTGTGAAGAAAGTCATTGGTAGCTTGATGGGGATGGCATTGAATCTATAAATTACCTTGGGCAGTATGGCCATTTTCATGATATTGATTCTTCCTACCCATGAGCATGGAATGTTCTTCCATTTGTTTGTATCCTCTTTAATTTCATTGAGCAGTGGTTTGTAGTTCTCCTTGAAGAGGTCCTTCATGTCCCTTGTAAGTTGGATTCTTAGGTATTTTATTCTCTTTGAAGCAATTGTGAATGGGAGTTCACTCATGATTTGGTTCTCTGTCTGTTATTGGTGTATAAGAATGCTTGTGATTTTTGTACATTGATTTTGTATCCTGAGACTTTGCTGAAGTTGCTTATCAGCTTAAGGAGATTTTGGGCTGAGACAATGGGGTTTTCTAGATATACAATCATGTCATCTGCAAACAGGGACAATTTGACTTCCTTTTTTCCTAACTGAATACCCTTTATTGTCTTCTCCTGCCTAATTGACCTGGCCAGAACTTCCAACACTATAATGAATAGGAGTGGTGAGAGAGGGCATCCCTGTCTTGTGCCAGTTTTCAAAGGGAATGCTTCCAGTTTTTGCCCATTCAGTATGATATTGGCTGTGGGTTTGTCATAGATAGCTCTTATTATTTTGAGATACATCCCATCAATACTGAATTTATTGAGAGTTTTTAGCATGAAGCGTTGTTGAATTTTGTCAAAGGCCTTTTCTGCATCTATTGAGATAATCATGTGGTTTTTGTCTTTGGTTCTGTTTATATGCCGGATTACATTTACTGATTTGCGTATATTGAACCAGCCTTGCATCCCAGGGATGAAGCCCACTTGGTCATGGTGGATAAGCTTTTTGATGTGCTGCTGGGATTCTCTTATCCTCCGGATCTATATATACATTTACTCTTTCACCAATATCAGTGTCTTGATATCTGTGACTTTACAGAATATATCTTGAAATCAGGTATTCCTCCAACTGTGTCTTTTATAAAACTGCCTTGGCAATTCTAATCATTTGCATTTTTATATAAATTTTAGAATTACCTTGTCAATATCTACAGTAAAGACAAATGTAATTCTTATTAGGGTAATATATAGCCTGCAGATCAATTTGGAGAGAATTGATATCACAGAAATATTGAGTGTTCCCATTTATGAACACTATGTAATTCTCCGTTTACATGGGTCTTCCATAATTGTTTTCAGCAATCTGTAGTTTTCAGAGTACAGTGTTAAATTCATCCTTAAATTTCTCATAATTTTGTATGCAACCTTTAAAAAGCTACTAGAATAAGTTAATTCAGATCAATATGTAAAAATCAATTGTATTTCCATATATTAGCAATGAACAATTAGAAAATGAAATTTAAAAGTTCAGTTTCTTTTAAAGAATCCTTAGGAATCCTTAGGTTGTGTACAACATATCATCTGCAAATAAAAGCAGTTTTATTTTTCCAATTTTTAATAATTATGGGTTCCTTCAGAAAGTTCAAGTGGGAAGATCATCCTTGCTTTGTTCTTGATCTTACATAGAAATCATAGCCTTTGTCATTAAATATAATAGCTGTAAATTTCCTCCTGATGTTCTTTATCAGTCAGACTGAACAACTGAATGGGTTTTGAATTTCATCACATGCTTTTTCTGCATCCACTGAAATGATTATTTTCTCTTCCTTATTCTGTTAACATGGTAAATTACATTGATTTTCAAATGTTAAACCAACCTTGCATTGCCACCCTTTGCGCTGCAGTACCCTTTATATATGCTGTTGGATTTGGTTTGCTAGTTTTTGTAGAGGTTTTTTTTTTTTTTTTTGAGCCTATCATCATGAAGGACTTTGGCCTGAGTTTTCATTTCTTGTAATGCCCTCATCTAGTTTTCATACTAATGTAAAACAGATGTTATTGACTGAGTTGGGAAGAATTCCATCCTCTTTTATGTTCTGAAAATGTTTGTGTTAAGACTGTTATTATGTCTTTCTTATATGGTTGGCAAGACTCACCATGAAGACACTTGGGCCTGAAGTTTCTCTGCAAAATGTTTTAAATTATGAATTCAATTCCTCCTCCTCTTCCTCCTCCTTTTTTTTTTTTTTTTTTTTTTTTTTGGTGAGATAGTCTCTCTGTCACCCAGGCTGGAGTGCAGTGGTGCAATCATAGCTCACTGTAGTCTCAACCTCTTGGGCTCAGGCAATCCTCCCATTTCAGCCTCCCCAGTAGCTGGAACTATAGGTACACACCACCATGCCTAGCTAATTTTTAAATTTTTAGTAGAGATAGGGTCTCACTGTGTTTCCCAGACTGGTCTCAAACTCCTGGTCTAAAGCTCCTCCTGCTTTCGGCTTCAATTTCTTTAATGGATATTGCACTGTTCAGTTTCTATTTCTTTTTATGACCACTATGGGTTTATTTCTAGACTCCCAATTCTACTAAATTTCAAGATGTCTATTCTTATGCTAATATCACACTGTTTTGATTAGTGTAGCTTTGCAGTAAGTTGTGAAATCAAGAGGTTTGAGTCTGCCTCCTTTGCTCTTTTTTCAAGATCAGTTTGGCTATTCTGGATTTCTTTCATTTCCATATGAATTTGAGAATTAGAATTCAATTTCTACAAAGAAGTTAACTAGCATTCTGATAGAAATTATGTTGAATTTGTAGATTCTTATCTTAACAGTATAAATAAAGTCTTCTGATCCATGAACACAGATGTTTTTCCATTTATTTAGATCTTCTTTAATTTCTTTAACAATGTTTTGTTATTTTCAAAGTGCAAGTTCTTGGAATAATCTTTTCTTACATTTATCCCAAAGTATTTTATTCTTTTTGATGCTATTGTAAAGGTTATTTTCTTCTTTTTTTTATGGTACCTTCAGTAACAATTTTTTAAATTTTTTATTTATTTATTTATTTTTATAATTTCAGCTTTTATTTTAGATTCGGGGGTACATGTGCAGGTTTAATAAGCTCTTGATAAAATTCAACATCCCTTCAGGATAAAAAACCTTAACAAACTAGGCATCAAAGGAACATAACTCAAGATAATAAGAGCCATCTATGACAAACCCCAGCCAACATCATACCGAATGGGCAAAAATTGGAATCATTCCCCTTGAAAACTGGAACAACACAAGGATGTCCACTCATCATTCTTATTCAACATTGTCCTGGAAGTCCTAGTCAGAGCAATCAGGCAAGAGAAAGAAACAAAAGACATTTTAATAGGAAAAGAAGAAGTCAAACCATCTCTCTTTGTTGACAATATGATTTTATACCTAAAATACCCTAAAGACTCTGTGAAAAGGCTCCTGGAAGTAATAAACAACTTCGCTAAAGTGTCAGGATACAAAATCAATATACAACAATCAGTAGCATTTCTGTACAACAATAACATTCAGCTGACAGCCAATTCCAGAATGCAATTCCATTTACAATAGACACACACACACACACACACACACACACACACACACACACACAACAAAGTAGAAAGAGAATGAAACTTTTTCAACCTACAAAAGGTCATCTATGAAAAATCCACAGTGGTGGGGCATGGTGGCTCACACCTGCAATCCCAGCATATTAGGTGGTCAAGATCTCTACAAGGGGAATTACAAAACACAGATTAAAGATACTGTAGCTGACAGAAACAAATGGAAAAACATCCCATGCTCATTGATCAGAAGAATTAATATTATTAAAATGACCATGCTACCCAAAGAAATCTGCAGATTCAAAGCAGGCCCTATGAAAACACCAACGTCATTTTTCATAGAATTGGGAAAAACAATCCTAAAATTTTTATGAAACCAAAAGAGAGTATGAATAACTAAAGTAATCCTAAGCAAAAAACCCCAAAAAACAGAAAACAAAACAAAACTAGAGGCTTTTTACAGTATATTATGTTACTTGACTTCAAATTATACTACGAGGCTATAGTAACGAAAACAGCATGCCACAGGTACAAAAATAGACACACAGATCAATGGAACAGAATAGAAAACCCAGAAAGAAAGCCACATATTTACAGCCAACTGATCTTTGACAAAATTGACAATAACATACACTGGAGAAGAGACGCCCTTTTTAATAAATGGTGCTGGGAAAATTGGATTGCCATATGCAGAAGAAACTGAACCCTTATCTCTCACCGTATAGAAAAATTAACTTAAGATGGATTAAATACTTAAATATAAGACCTAAAACTATAAAAATCCTAGAAGAAATCCTAGGGAAAACTCTTCTGTTCATTGGTCTAGGCAAATAATTCATGACTAAGATCTCAAAAGCACAAACAACAACAACAACATAGACAAATGGGACTTGATTAAACTAAAAAGCTTCTACACAACACAATAAATAATTGACAAAGTGAACAGACAACCTGAAGAATGGGAGAAAATATTTGAAAAATATGCATCTGGCAAGGGCAAGAAACTCACATAACAACAGCAAAACCAAATAATCCCATTACAAAGTGGCAGTTGATAAGAATAGACATTTTTTCAAAAGACACACAAATAGCCAATAGGTATATGAAGAAATGCTCAACATCACCACTCATCAGAGAAATGCAAATTAAAATTTCAATGAGACATCCTCATTGACACCACTCAGAATGGCCATTATTAGAAAGTCAGAAAATAACATGTTGGTGAATTGGCAGACATAAACGAACTCATATACTATTGGTGGGAATGTAAATTAGGACAACCTCTGTGGAAAACAGTATGGAGATTTCTCAAAGAACTTAAGACAGAACTACTATTTGATCCAGCAATACTACTACTTGGTACCTACCTAAAGGAAAAGAAATCATTACATTGCACTCGTATGTTTATCACAGCACAATCCACAATGGCAAAGATGTGGAGTCAACCTATGTGTCCATCATAGATAACTGGATAAAGAAAATAGGGCATATATACACAATAGAATACTACTCAGCTATAAAAAAGAATGAAATCATGTTTTTTGTAGCAACACGAATGGAACCGGAAGTCATTATCTTAAGTGAAAGAAGCCAGACACAGAAAGACAAATACTGCATGTTCTCATTCATAACTGGGTGCTAAAAAATGTGTACCCATGGACATAGAGAGTGGAATGATAGACAATAGAGACTGAGAAAGGTGAGGGGGTACAAAGGGGGTAGATAATGATAAATTACTTAATGGCTACAATGTACATTATTCAGGTGATGGATACCCTAAAAGTCCTTATCTGATCCTCACTTAATTTGCGCATGTAATGAAACTGTACTTGTGCCACATAAGTTTATATAATAAAAATGTATATAAGTCAATTGCAATGTGTGGATTTTATTTAAATCTTGATTAAAACAAATTAGACATTATGACATGAAACAATTGGAAGTTTTAACACTGAGTGGATATTTGATGATATTAAGAAATTATTTGTAGGCCAGGTGTAGTGGCTCATGCCTGTAATCCTAGCACTTTGGGAAGCTGAGCTGGGAGAAGCACTTGAGCCCAGGAGTTCAAGACCAGCTAGGATAACATAGTGAGACCTTGTCTTCACACACAAAAGACCCCAACAAATTAGCCAGGCATGGTGGCGTGAGCTTGTAGTCCCAGCTATTCAGGAGACTGACCCTTGGAGGGGGAGGCTGCAGTGAGCTGTGACTGCACCACTGCACTCCAGCCTGAGCAACAGAGGAAGACCCTGTCTCAAAAAAAATAAATTCATTAAATAAAATACATTATTGTTAAATTGTTTTTAAGTATGTTAATGGTATTGTGGTTATGCTAAAATAAGAGTCCTCATCTTTTAGATGATACTTACTGAAATATTTATAAGTAAAGTAACATTGTACATGTGATTTACTTTAAAATAATACCAGAGAGTGGGGGTATGTGCACGAGACTGTGGATGAAATTTGATTGACCAGGGGTTGACGTTTTCAGGGGCAAGTGATGCGTACGTGTAGAGTTCATTCTGTAGGCTGTTGTATATGTCCAAAATTCTCCATAAGCTTTTCAAAAATGTATTTAGGCTTTTAAGATGCTTTAAATTTTATATAAAGTATTGAAGTATTTCTTTTGAGTATAAGTTTAATTTTTAATGCTTCAAAAAATAAGCTCTATATTCCCAAGGCTCTCCAGGAAACACAGAATAAAAACTAAATACATGTTAACAATAAAATTCCAGCAATTTTCTCTCAATTGCATAATATAACACAATATGTTCATTAAACCTCCACTTTTGCTTATTCTGTTCTTCCAGGCTAGAATGCCCTCTTCCTCCTCCTCTCTATCAGAATCTTATTGGTTCATATACTTCAATTCTCAAGTATTCCATAAAATCTTGTGAAATTTATTCAAGCTTAGAAGAATCTCTCCCTTCTGTGACTTGCCATGGAAGTGTCCAATTATTTCATTTAACAGCACATAGTAACGTATGTTCATTTTTAGTATATATTTTTTCTCTCCAGTTAATTATAATCTATTTGAAGGTAGCAATTGCATCTTATCCTCTGTTAACTCTATGTTTCACAAAAGTCTTTAGTACACAGTAGGCTCTTAATAAATTCATATACAACTCAAAATAGCTATTTGGTTAATGGTTACTACTAAATATGATTGTTGTTACGTTAGTGATTGTGCTACAGCACAGATAAAACAACAATATTAATACCACAACATACTAATAAACATAAACTGTTATGATTGTATGGATAAAATTGCTGTTAGGCACAGTATTTAGTTTTTGTAGCCTAACATATGATATAATGCTAGAGCTTAAAGGTTCAAAAAAAATCAAAGGGCGTGTATTTATAAATCCAGACATCAACTGTGGTTGTAATTTGTGCAGTTTGGTTGAACACAGACAAAGACTGTTAAACTCCAAAGCAGGTCAGATTCTTTTACTGTGTTAACCTGCCTTTAACATGGTCTCAGTGATGTGTTTTGTGCAATAAACATGTCAAGCATATCCAAATTAGGGAAATAATGCTGAAGTACCAGTTTTGCTTCAGCTGTATTTCTGAGGGAGGCATGAGTAGAGGAAGGGGTCCAGTAGCAAAGTAAAAGGCCCAGCTATCAGGAGGATTAGATAATATTTATGCCACTGTCGATGGCCTTAATGTAACCTAGGGGATGTTAGTTTTCTCTCTGTTTCAGTTTTCTCCTCTCCAAAAAGGGATGATGCCTTACAAGGATGTTGAAGGGATTAAATAAGATAACATATGTATTGAACTCCAAGATATAAGACAGAAGGAATTACAAACGTAGCTTTAAAAATTATATCTGTATTTTCTAGGGTAACAGTTTTAACACAAAACATTGAAGAAAATGTTATACTTTGAATTTGTACTCTTTGGAAAACATGTTTTTCATAGGTTAGGGGACAAGTGATGAAGATTATTAGATTTGAATTTCTCAATATATTTTTGAACACTAAAATGTTGCTGTGTGAATAAACAACTCCTGAAAACAAACTGTTAATCAAAAAGGGCCAAATCTAAGTTCAAGCATGCCATTTTCACAAAATATTTTTTTAAATGCCTCACAAGAAAAAAATCAACCATCTTAACTACAGCGAAAACTTGTTCCTAAAGAAAAATCAAATGATTGCATATTGTGTTCACAAAATATTGCGTTTAATGCCTAAAAAGCTAAAAAAAAGTTATAAATGTATTAACAGAATCTCAAAAAAGAGCTAATGATAACAATAAAAACTCAACATTGGGATTATAATAATAATGGGTTACCTTCATTACATTCCTAAGTGTACCCAAGTACTGTATAAAGCATTGTACATGCATTATTTGATTTGGTTATTCTAAAACAATGATATGAGGCAGGTATAATTACAATTCTTACTTTGCAGGTCAGGAAATTGAGGCTTTGAGAGGTTAATTACCCGTTGATGGTCACTCAGCTGGAAAGGCAGAACCTGCACCATCTGTCTTACTGTGGTGTTAGCTCTGAATTAAAACACTGTATCATACAAAAGAATGAATGGAAAACAAAAGTTTTACAAGTGAAAAGGTGAAGGAAGACCTAATGAAAGTAGATTTAGAAATATATGACGTTTTCTTCATTATTAATTATAATTTAAGTGAACAGTGCGTCCAACTTTCTAGGACAAAATCTCAATTTTCACCTTTTTTCATGTAATATTTTCAAAAATTTTTATTTTTTATAGTTTAGAACAACTAACCAAGCTTGATAGGACAACTAAACTTTCCATGGGTTAAAATAAATGAAAATCTTTATCAGATTAACATTGAATAAAACTAAACTAAAAAGCCAGTCCCTATCCCTAGGCTTTTGAACTTCTTGATTGCTTTACATAGTAACTGAATATTGTTCAGTTGTGATTCAATCAGAACCAGGAAGTTTTAGAAGATATTTTTGGGGAATAACTGGAACTACATTAATAGAATACTGATTGTCATAAAACCCTTTTAAGCCTAAAGAGAACAAGACATACTGTACAACAACATTTAAAGCTTAACAACTAAACAGAATAGTAAATTAAACCTTAATAAATTCATACATTTCATAAACATCTTAGGTTTGGAATAGTCAGTGGGGCATAATATTTTTATACTGAACTGAACTCATAAAATAATGTTTTTGGAATTATGGGGAAAACATTCAGTCAAGTCAATTTTGACCCTTGCAGACTTGTAAATCATTTAAACTTTAGAGAACTAGTTCATGATTTAAGGAATGAAAACTCTAGCTACCTCACATATAATTGAATCTGGAATATTTACACATTTAAATACCTAACTATAGGTAAACATTCATCATTTTGGGATAGGGCCAGGTGGAAGGGCCTCATGGCAAAATAACAATGTTAAGTCCCGGATATCTGACTGTACTGCCAGTGCCACCCAGTCTTAAAAATACTGACGGATCGTCATCATCATCCTCAGTCAATATTTACTAAGCTTTTTATGACAGCAGTGGCATTAGAAAGTTTATAGAAATCAAAACTAGCTTAAAGATCTCAGTTTATTAGATCTTGTACTGTATGTTTAACATTTATTGTTTTTGCAATTAATGAATCAGAATGTTCCTGAACAAAGGTCTTCAATTATTAGCTATTATTTTCATTTGCCAAATATTTTTAACTAGTTTAGATTCAATAAAAATCTTTAATTCATTTACTAATGCATGTGTCATGGAAAGAAAAAGAAAACATCTATAATTAAAATATACTAAATAAACCTAATTAAACTGAGTGAAATTTATTGAAATATGAAGGAATTCTCTCCTCTCCTTATCATTTCTGACTATAGCTGGTGTTCACAGGATTGAATTATTTTAAAAAGGCACCCTCTTCATCTCTAACCAGTCACAGAATCCTGCTTCTGTATCAAGTGGAAGAAGAATGTCAGGTTAATAGTTCTTTTAAAGTTGGTAGTATTTTTTTTAACATCTTATTTTACTTTTAAAAACTGCTTGAATTAGTGCCATGTAAAATACCTTCAAAAACAGTTAAAAATATTTGGCAAACATAAAATGCAAGTGAAGATATCATTTATATGTATATTTTCCATAACACAGGTGAATAAAGTCTACTCTGGAATTTAATTCCCTTATAAATCCTGCCTTTTGTAAAGCACAACACTAATAAAATCTATTTTAAAAAAATTAACCACATTGTCATAAATATACATATACCAAAACATAGATCAGTTTTTCATTATCATTTCTAAGCATTAAGCTTAATTTGTGCAGGTTACCATGCATGAGTCTTTTCAAAACTTACAAAACTCATTGCTATAATATACAAAAGTAATACATGTACATAAAAAATTTTTAAATTCAAACACTTTATTAGGGTATGAAATGAAAGTTAAAATGTCCCCTTCTCTCACTCACCATGGATATAAGAAATCTGACTGCTAGACTCAGTCTCACTTCCCAGGCAACCTGCTGTTAAGTTTCTAATGTATCACAATGTTTAAGCATACACGTATATTTAATACATACTCATTCATTCAAAACACTTATTGAGCATCAGAGACATGCCAAGCACTGATTCAGGTATAAGATTCAGCGGTTAAAAAAAAAAATCCTAAAGGACAATCCACTAATACAGTATAGTGTCATGTAAGCATGTCTATTATGAAAAAAAATAATAATAAAGGAGGGTAACAAATAGAGTGATGTAGTAAGAGGGTACACTATTTTAGATAGTGTGATCTTGTGACATTGAAGCAGGAAGTTGAACAAAGTAAAGGAACAGACTCATGTGACATTCCGGGGGTAGAACACTCCAGGCAGAGAAAACACATGGCAGGGCCCTGGGATGGGAGCACACCTAGAATATTTGAGTTATTAAGGAACCTAGTGTGGCTGGAGTGAACCAAGAGTAGAAACATGTTAAGAAATAAGGTTAGAGAGGTAGCCAGGGGCCAGAGTATATGTATACGTGTACAAACATCCATTTTATAAGTAATATCACAACATACATCTGGGGTCATAAAATTAAATACCTACAGGGTTGAGGAAGATGACTTTAAATTCACAAAGTAGGTGGAATAGAAAGTGTGGTGAAATGGCAAGTGCATGCCCCTTTTAGAGAGGGTAATTTTTACCTGGCCCTAGTCAATTGTTGAAATGCACGTGTGATGGTTAATTTTATGTGTCAACTTGGCTAGGCTACGGTAATGAGATATTTGATCAAACAGCAATCTAGATGTTGCTGTGAAGGTATTTTGTTTTTTTTTTTTTTTTGCTGTGATTAACATGTTTAATCAGTAGACTTTGAGCACAACAGACGGCCTCTATAATTATGAGTAGACCTTATCCAATCAGTGGAAGACAGAGATCCCCTAAGGAAGAAGAAATTCTGCATCTTGAGACTCAAGGCCACAACATCTGCTAAGTACGGTGGCTCACACCTGTAATCCCAACACTGGGAAGTCGAGGCGACAGGATTGCTTGAGCTCAGGAGTTCAAGACTAGCCTGGGCAACATAGTGAGACCTTGCCTCTATTTTTTTTTTAAATTAGTGCTCACCTTGGGTACATATACTAAAATTAGAACCATACAGAGAAGATTAGCATGGCTCCTATGCAAGGATGACAGACAAATTCGTGAAGCATTCCATATTTTTGGGAGAAAATTTTTGCAATCTATCCATCTAACAAAGGGCTAATATCCAGAACCTACAAGGAACTTAAACAAATTTACAAGAAAAAAAACAACCTCATCAAAAAATGAGCGAAGGATATGAACAGACACTTCTCAAAAGAAGACACTTATGTGGCCAACAAACATATGAAAAAAAGCTCATCACCATTGGTCATTAGAGAAATGCAAATCAAAACCACAGTCAGATACCATCTCACGCCAGTTAGAATGGTGATCATTAAAAAGCCAGGAAACAACAGAGGCTGGAGAGGATGTGGAGACATAGGAATGCTTTTACACTGTTGGTGGGAGTGTAAATTAGTTCAACCATTTTGGAAAACAGTGTGGTGATTCCTCTAGGATCTAGAACCAGAAATACCATTTGATCCAGCGATCCCATTACTGGGTATATACCCAAAGGATTATAAATCATTTTATGATAAAGACACATGCACACGTATGTTTATTGCGGCACTATTCACAATAGGAAACACTTGGAACCAACCCAAATGCCCATCAATGATAGACGGGATAAAGAAAATGTAGCACATATACACCATGGACTACTATGCAGCCATAAAGAAGAGTGAGTTCAGGGTCGGGTGCGGTGGCTCATGCCTGTAATCCTGGCACTTTGGGAGGCCGAGGCAGGTGGATCACCTGAGATAAGGAGTTTGAGACCAGCCTGGCCAACATGGTGAAACCCCGTCTCTACTAAAAATACAAAAATTAGCCGGGCATGGTGGCGGGCACCTGTAATCCCAGCTACTTGGGAGGCTGAGGCAGAAGAATCACTTGAACCTGGGAGGCAGAGGTTGCAGTGAGCTGAGATCACGCCACTGCACTCCAGCCTGGGCAACAGATCGAGACTTGGTCTCAAAAAAACAAACAAACAAGAATGAGTTCATGTCCTTTGCAGGGACATTGTTGAAGCTGGAGACCATCATTCTCAGCAAACTAACACAGGAACAGAAAACCAAACACTGCAAGTTCTCACTCATAAGCGGAAGTTGAACAATGAGAACACATGGACACAGGAAGGGGACCATCACACACCGGGGCCTGTTGGAGGTTGGGGGGCAAGGGGAGGGATAGCATTAGGAGAAATACCTAATGTAGATGATGGGTTGATGGGTGCAGCAAACCACCATGGTACATGTATACCTGTGTAACAAACCTGCACTCTGCACATGTATCCCAGAACTGAAAGTATAATTAAAAAAAAAAATTAGGCATGGTGGCATGTGCCTGTAGTCCTAGCTACTCAGGAGGCTGAGGCAGGAGGATCATTTCAGCATGGGAGTTTGAGGCTGCAGTGAGCTATGATTGCACCACTGCACTCCAGCCTAGGAAACAGAGCGAGACCCTGAGTCAAAAATAAAAAATTTTAAAAAGTACAACATCAGCCCTTCACTGGTTTTCCAGCCCGATGGCTTGCTCTGAGATTTTCAGACTTGCCAGGCCCCACAATTGTTTGAGCCAACTTCTTAAAATGAATCTCTTGCCCTATTTATATACAGTCTATTGGTTCTCTTTCTCTGAAGAACCCTGAATAATAAACATGTCATACTATAATCCTAAGCGTCCCACATTGCCAGATCTCCTAGATCTCATTTTGGCAATGAATTTAATATATTTTTTCCAATGATATGCAGACCAAACAAAGCAACCACGGAAAATATTTTATTTTTTCATTCTAAGAATAATGCTGCAATGAACAGTGGATAATGATACTATTTCCTAAGTTTTTTTTTTAATTCTAAATTTTAAGAAAGGTAAAATCCAAACAAATGTTTCCAATGATAGTTTTCAAATATGAACACTGTAGGTCTAAAAAAAAAAGAAATTTTTTTGGTAGGTGATATATTTGCTTTATTATATGGAGACACCATTTTGACCCACATCCGTGTAAATAACTAACCTACATGCTGGACTAGGTTCATGTCATCTAAAATCATTCATTCATTTACACATTTATCAATGAGTTCTTATTATATGCAATGCACACAAAAAAACATTGTGCAGGAGACACTGTACATCTGAATAAACTTTCAATCTAGTGTTAACTTTGTTTATTCATTTGTGGACATATATTTACTAAAGTCTTGCTATACATAAAGAACAGAAGCACTAGTAGGGGAGTTAAGACACATATTCATAGAACTATTGGACTAGAAGGCATGAGGTATGTATTGCAAGAGAGCCACTGTGAATAACTATGGTAGGAATTTTACACAGTGAGATCACTTCTAACGGACAAGATTAGAAAAGGATTAATAGAATAGCTGTTACTTAAATTATGATGTGAAGCCTCAATAAAAATGGGATAGGCAGAGATGGAGTAGTCCAGGAGGAAATGACGACATGAGAAAGCACTGAAGTGGGAAATTGTTGGGTGTGTCCATGGAATATTGAACAATCTATTTTGGGAGTGCACAAAATAGTCAATTCAGTGTAACAAATATTTGTTGAGCGCTTACTATGTGTGAAGCAGTATACCAGTGACACAAATATGAATGAAACTGGGAAGCAAAAAGATGATTGGTGAAATACTAAACTAGAAACAGGGCCGGGCGTAGTGGCTCACGCCTGTAATCCCAGCACTTTGGGAGGCTGAGGCGAGCGGATCACGAGGTCAGGAGACCGAGACCATCCTGGCTAACATGGTGAAACCCCGTTCCTACTAAAAGTACAAAAAAAAAAAAATTAGCCAGGCATGGTGGCGGGTGCCTGTAGTCCCAGCTAGTTGGGAGGCTGAGGCAGGAGAATGGTGTGAACCTGGGAGGTGGAGCTTGCAGTGAGCTGAGATCGCGCCACTGCACTCCAGCCTGGGCGACAGAGCAAGACTCTGTCTCAAAAAAAAAAAAAAAAAAAAAAAAAAAGAAACAGAGATGGCAGCAATATCAAGGAAGTTCATGAACGTTACATTAAAGAGTTCGGACTTTATTATATATGTAATGTGGTATTGTTAAATACTATTGATGGCTGAATCAGAGGGTGAAAATAAAGTTTCAGGAATCTTAAGAGAAGTAAGGATGGAGAAGACAAGTAAACAAAGTAGCAAAAAAAGCTTGGGCATGAAATTATTCAGGTGTAGTCTAAGTAGGCAAAGGCAAAAGTGACAATGATTGCAAGGAAAAATCTAGCAAAAGCTCGTTATAAATTAAATTTAAGAAAGCGATGAATCAAAGATTACCTATGTAGGAGGCAATTGCCACCTGTGGACCTATAATAATAGTGATTCTGAGTGCCAAGACCAAGGGAAACACTGCACTTTTTTAATCTAACAAAATATAAAACTGTATTTTTCTCAAGCTAATAGAAACAACGTTTAGAAACATCAAATTCCAGGACCTATAATTAGCAAGCCCATTCTAATACAAACTCTGGGTCCTTTGCTAGGCACAACCATTAAGTGACAAAATATTTTGTTAAATGCTCTTAAAAGGAGGTTGAGTCACTTTGTAGAATAACAATTAGCAGTTGAGAGCTATACATGTTGAAATTTAGTTTTATTCTTATAGCTTACTGTGTTGAATAAGGCGCAGAAAATTGTGAAAACTGATAATGCCAAAAAACGTCCTTCTGGATAGAAAGCTATAGAAGATACAAATTTACTTCAGTAGCAATAGCCTCTTTACTAATTTAATTGTCTTATGTCTCAAGACAGCAAACATTTGTAAGTGATTTTATAAATTACATTTATTAATATATCTCCTTTGCACAGTGCTTCACAGTTTTCAAAAACATTCAGATGTATCATCTCACTGATTTTCATATTAAGCAGGTTAGATACTATTGCTGTTTACAGGTGAGGCAATCGACATTCAGAAGTAGCTTAGTAAATGCCACATTCTATAAGTTGAGAGGAAGAAGAGACAAATGCTTAATAAATATAGTCCAAATCACTGGACATACAGAAAATGTATACTTTTTTTTAAAAAAAAAAACTATTTTAATTTTCTTTTTGTTTTACATTCCAGAGTCACCAATAAATATATATATAGTGACTTGAACAGTGAAGCCAGCTGTAAATTTTTAAATTTAAAGGCCCTGAAAATAGACACAACTTAATGGCATAAAAAGACTGTTTGACTTTAAATGTTACTAAATAAAAATTTAATCTACCATATAAAGGGGTAACAAATTTCATAAAATGTGAGAAGTAGAAAAAGCTTTTCACGTCAAAATTAAAGAAGCTGAAATCAAGCAAAGTTGAAACTTGTCTACGGTAATCAAAAAAAAATCTGATTAATGCCAAAGATGGAAGTGTAATTCAAGTCTTCTTGTGTTCTTTTTAATCACAGCTGTTGCAGTATGGTACCATAATGTAGCTCCATAGATAGTTAATTATTAGAGAAAACAGAGGTGTGACAAAAAATTTATGTCACCGGGTAGGCCAACTGACACTACTGATTAGAATATACAACTAACGAGGTCAGGATTGAGTGTTCAACCCCACTCTTGGTGAGGGATTTGCATTGAGAAAAATATTGCTTCATGGCTATAGTTTGCATGCTATAATCACCAGTGACTTTTCTTATCAACTCGTAGTTCTGACCAAGAAAGCATATGGTCCAATAAAAAACTATCACTACCATTAAAACAAAACAAAAAAACCCCATGGATTCTAGTGACAGTCAGCAGTATTTCTGACTGTTAAGGACAGTATATACACAGACCAAAAAAAGTACACAAAGAGAAAAGGACCTATACTGAATAAAATTTACTAAAGTAATATAGAAAAAAATAAAGAATTTTACTTTCTTTTTGTGTATATTTCATCTGGCCTCTATCTTTATGGTTTCTATGACTTTTAAATGTATACTACAAACCCAGTAAGTAGGGTTAATGTTTATTCCACTTTTCACTATGTTAAACACGTAAGTATTTCATATAATTATTATCAAAAAATACTAGTTCAATCACAGGAAACAAATTACCTTAAAAAGTGAAGAATTCTCTTCAACATTTTTGTTCTAAAATGTCAACTTTACCATATTCTGAATGGCATTACAAATTCACACATGGAATCACACAAAATATAATAAAAATTTAAAACACACTGACTTGTTAATTATAATATGTATAATAAATCCTATACTACTGGCTCCAAACAACAAGGTCTAATTCTTGTCTAAACACTTTAATTTACACTTTCTTTAAGTGAAAGAAAATATAAGGAAGCACTATAAAATCAGCAAACATCGAAACAGGCATTCCCTCAATTAGAAAAGAGTTTGTTATTATTATGCCTCCTGAACTTAGGAATGCAGCACTACAGGTTTATAACAACAGGAAAAAAATCATTACTAAATACAAATCTAATCCCTACAAGTTTAAGATTCTTTCTTGATGAAACTGTCTAGATTTAGATTAATGAAAGTGTTGCAAATGGATTTAGCATTTGCTATAGCAATCAGGAGGTACTAATATTTACTAATAGCACTTTTATAATATGTGGAATTTATTTTAAATCTTTGTATTGTTAGTCCTCTCCTGCTATCTTTTCTGTTTTAATGCATAAGAGCTATCAGCTACAGTGGTAAGTTTAATATCTCTATCCTCCCATCTCACTGGCCACTGCTCCTAACTGCCAAAAGAAACAAAAGACCAACACTTCATTTTCTTAGCACTCAAAATATTCTAAAACTCAAAGGAAACAAACAGAATAAAGAAACTCATAAACCTGTATTTCCATATTTCCAGTTTCCTTATTTCCATACAAGGGAATGGAATGTTTTTACCAGCAGTAGCTCTTACACTAAACCAGAAAAAAAAAAAAAAAAAGATTTTTGGAAAAAAACCCACTTTTTTAAAAAAAAGGCCAGTATCACTAATTAGTAAAGAAGAAAAAAACTGGGGAGACAGAGTCTCACTCTGTTTCCCAGGCTGGAGTACACTGGTGTGATCTCCACCCACGGCAACCTCTGCCTCTTGGGCTCAAGTGATCCTCCCACCTCAGCCTCCCGAGTAGCTGGGATTACAGGCACACGCCATGCCTTGCTAAATTTTGTATTTTTTGTAGAGATGGGGTTTGGTCATGTTGCCCAGGCTGGTCTTGAACTCCTGGACTCAAGTGATCCGCCAGCCTCCCAAAGTGCTGGGGTTACAGGCGTGAGCCACCATGCCCGGCCACTAATTAGTAAAATCAAAGGAAAGGTAGAATGAAAGCCATCATCATATTTTAATCTGCCCCTAAAACGAAGAGCTGATCATACATCCTCCATTGTTTTGGCTGTTGGAGAGTTGAGAGTCAGACTTGAAGTTTTCTCTTTTGCTGCTTCACAGTATACATGCCGGCTGTATTCTGACTCACTCCAGGCTCTAGCTACCTGTCCTAATCCTATATTTTCCCAGCCTTATTTTTTTCTTAAATATTGGTAAATAACTTTCTCTAATATGACAATATACATGTATAAATGTATATGTAAATGTAAACTGATTTGGATAGCTGTAAGTATTGCTTGCCAGACATAATCCATTATCTATGAGTTCTATCTATCCATTTAATCTATCTGAAAATTACAGTTAGTTTTAGGTTCCTTCACATAAAATGGAACCTTTTCATTTCCTCTATAACATAGGAAAATTAGTAGAAAAAACTAATATTTCTATGAATTAGTTGTGTTTCACATACAGATTTGTAAGCACCATTTACCAGGTGTGTAAGAAATACTGTTTACTTTCATTTAAATCAAATTAAAGTAGACTTTGAGCTTGCAGGAAACTTAAGCTTGGTTTTTTTCATAATTTCCTCCCCCGTCCTAGAGTTGTACATCCCAGGAATCTTAAACTAATCCCATTTAAAATAAATTTCTGTATATCCTCACAGAGTGTTCTCTGTACCTTTAAAAAAATGTGTGGTAAAATGACAACATAAAATTTACTATTTTAATCATTTTAACTGCACAACTTACTGGCAGTAAGTATACTGACAATATTGTACAATTGTCACCATTATTCATTTCCACAACTTTTCATCATCCCACTCTATGTAAATCATATAATTCCCCACTCTTATAACTCCGTATTCCCCTTCTCCAACTCCGGGTAACCTCTATTTTATTTTCTGTCTCTATGAACTTGGCTATTTTAAGTACCTCATATAAGTGGAATCATACAATCTTTCTTTCTTATCTGGTTTATTTCGCTTAGCATAATGTCTTTAGGTTTGTCCATGTTGCAGCATGTATTAGAATTTCATTTGTTTTTGAATAATGAATAGCTGGATAATGTTCCATTCTCTGTATATACCACATTTTGTTTATTCATCTGCTGAGGGACACTTGGGTGGTTTCCACCTTTTGGTTAATATGAACAATGCTTTCATAAACATCGGTGTACAGTAACTGCTTGTCCTTACTTTCAATTCTTTTGGGTATATACCTAGGAGTGGGCTTGCTAGATCATATGGTAATTCTGTGTTTGACCTTTGAGGAACCACCAAATTGTCTGCCACAGTGACTGCATCAATTTACATTCCCATCAGCGATGCAGGAAAGTTCTCTGTATCTTTTTGTTTTAGGAGAAACATGGAATCTCCCTGGAAGATGCAACTTCCCTTAAATTTTTGAGTGGATACCAAACATTCTTCCATGCATCACACATTGTGCAGGTCTCTTCTTATGATATATCTTCATTCAATATGTACGATTTATCTGTTTTTGGGTCATGCTCAGAACTGAGTGCTTCACTTCATTTAAGCATTTCACTTAAATAGTAACATTCCACTTTCCGACTTCAATCTCCTGTCTCTTCAGCTCTTGAATTATACATACTTGTGTGCATATATATATACACATATATAATATATATATATACATATATACATATTATATATGTATGTGTGTGTGTATATATATATATATATATATATATGTATATTTTGAGACAGAGTTTCACTCTTGTTGCCCAGGCTGGAGTGCAATGGTGCAATCTTGGCTCACTGCAACCTCCACCTCAAGTGATTCTCCTGCCTCAGCCTCCTGAGTAGCTGGGATTACAGGTGTCCGCCACTACACCTGGCTAATTTTTTGTATTTTTAGTAGAGACAGGGTTTCATCATGTTGGCCAGGGTGGTCTTGAACTCCTGACCTCAGGTGATCTGCCCACCCTCTCATGTTCAGAAGCCAACACTGACCCCTACTTTATGTAGGGGGTTGGAGGTGTGGTTAATACTAATTGTGGCCTCAAATTTACAAATATAGCTATTCTTAATTCCTTTACTCCTGTCTCTGATCACAATTTGGCCAGCTTTTTGTTCAAGGTGAACTTTTCTGCAGATACTCTAAATTCCATCCCTTCCTACCTCCTCTGGAATCTTGCTCTATAAGAATTCTTTATTGTGGCTTCCTCAAATTAGCCATAAATATACTCAAGTATTTGCTATTTTTCAAAAACAAAAATCCTTAACCTACGTTTCCTCTCTTCTCAATTATCATTACCACCTTTCTTACTCAAGTTTCTTCAAGGACTGCTCTATTGTCCAAATTGCTATGCTTCTTTACCTCCTAATTACTCTTCAATTCACAGAAAACTGATGTCTATATCTAATACTCTGTTGACTAAACTACTCTGTGGAAGTCACTAATGGCCACCGAATTTCCAATGTAAAGGATACCTTTGGTCCTTATCATAGTTAACCACTTAGTAACATTTGACTCTTTTTTCCTATGGGAAATCTTCTTTGGTTTCAGTGATATATTTTTTGGTTCTGCTCCTACCTCAATGATCTTTTGTTTTAAAAAGAAATATATCTTAACATTGGTTGATCAATAACAATAAACCA
Source organism: Homo sapiens (assembly GCF_000001405.40). Lineage (NCBI taxonomy): Eukaryota > Metazoa > Chordata > Mammalia > Primates > Hominidae > Homo > Homo sapiens. Next base: position 37,425,660 of record NC_000014.9, on the reverse strand, counting down.
AACACTGTGCTAAGAACTGAATATACCTAAAACAACCCTATAAGTAGGTACTATTACTCTCATTTTAAAGAAAGGAAAGGAGCTTGGTGAGGTTCATTTATACACGACCACACATGTCATGGCTGTCTAATTGCAAATCCCAGTGGCTTTATTACATCACCATAAATTTTTTTTAAGTAGCAGTGAGAAAAGTAGTTGTGAAGCATATCTTTCAACCAATAATTACTAATCTCTATTTAGAAGAGATCATATAATCCTACTAGACTCATGTAGATTTTAAAGAGTATTTGAAAAACAAGAATTTTAGCTTTATGATTTTCAAAAATGATTTAATCATCTTCCACAATTCAGCAGAGAAGGAGCTTCAGGAACTGGCATCAAGGTTTGCTTGTTAGGAAGTAATGTCAGTTCATGCAACATCATCATATACCTCTTGGAATTCTCTGACACTGTCACTTCATCAACAGAGCACCTACTGTCTTGTCCCATAAATGTTACTGGAGAATGTTCCATAAAAACCTTCCCCATCAATAAGGTGAATCTACTAATTACCACATTGCAATGTCCATGGTCAGGGCACAAACCACATGGCATTCATGTGTTCATAATTGGTTTAATATCTGCCTCTTTATTACTTTACCAAGAAGAGATCCTAATTTAATGCAGCTAACTGAAATATGCATGTAGAACATCAGCTCTCAAACTTGGCTGCATAAAGGAATTTTCTAGAGAGCTTTAAAAACACACTGATGTAATCAGCATGGGGTGGGCTAAGTGTCAGAATTTTTAGAGGCCATCAGGTTATTCTAATGGCAGCTACAGTTGAGAGTCATTGGTGTAAAAGACAGAGGAAAGAGTGTAATATTCATTTTATAGTCCAAAATAAAGTAGGTTGGTAGGATGTATTCATTCACCATCAGGGTTTTCGATACCTGTATGCCCACTTATAGACACTAATTCTAATTGCAAAAGCAAATGATTCCCAACAGTCAGTGACCAACCAAACATACTTGACGTTTGATAACTGCATTAGTTTCCAAGGACAGCCATAACAAAGTACCACAAACTGTGTGGCTTAAAACAACAGATATTTAATATCACATAGTTCTGGAAACTATAGAAGTCTGGAATCAGGTGTCGGCTGGGCTATGTTCTTTCTGACAACTGTAAAGGAGAGTCCTTCCTTGCCTCTTCTAGTGTTTGGTGTTTACCAGCAATTGTTGGCCCTCCTTGGCTTGTAGATACATGGCAGTCTTCTCCCTGTGTGTCTTCAGATTGTCTTCCCTCTGTGCATGTCTGTCTCTGTGTCCATAATTTCCCCTTTTTATGGGGACACCACTAGTAGTGGATTAGAGCCCACCCTACTGACTTTATTTTAATTTGATTACCTCTGTACAAACCCTATTTCAAAATAAAATCACATTCTCAGATAGCAGGGGTTAGGACATCAGTATAACCTTTTTGGGTGGCATAATTCAACCTGTAACAATAGCCAACTACTGCAGATGTTAGTAATATTGCTCCAAAGCAGGAGTGCTTAACTTGGGGATGGGAAAGAATTATATCTTTATTTTCACCAACTCTTATGGAACTACAGTATTTCCTACAATTATGAACATGAGCAACAAATTGCAGTAGTAATATCAGTGGTTCTTGAGAGTTTGCACCCATAGAAATCACTGGTATTTTCATGTCACATTTCAGCATTTGCAGTTATCCAAAAATACCACTTACAGTCATCACTGGCTTGAAACTAAAGTTGTTAATGGACTTGCTGCTAGATCTAGTTACTTTATCCATTAATAATGATGCATGTATATCATGATATATCATGACATAATATTTTCTTAATTGTACTTCAGTAAAACTTATTTTGATTTAATTGCATTTTATGCATTTTAACTTTATTCTGAGAAAAGGTCCAAATTAAAACAAAAATCTTTCAAAAACTTAACAGCACCCTTAGTGAATTCCTACATTTCAGACTTGAGGATTTTTTAAACTTAGTAATGAAAGAATATACATGGCATTGTGCATCGGTGTGTTTTTTCAATGTTTTCTACCATGATCCACTGTAAGAATATGTTTTACACATAACCCAATACAAAATCTTTTTTCTCTTTCTCACATACAAACCTGAAACAAAAGTTTACCATTACTATAAGAGATGCATTCTGACATTTCTATTCATTTTCATTAAAAAATACCTACCTTATTAATTTATGTTACAGGGGTAGTTGTGAATACTCCTGTAACATAAATTAATAAGTCTGTCATATTAAAATACATGAAAGGTTATTATTGCTGCTCATGTGTGTTTTAAAATATATATATTTAAATATATATTACATTTATATGTATAAGTATAAATGTATGTATATTTTATATTTATATTTACGATTGTTTTAGAGGTGATATTTAGATGGGCAAATAGCTCAACAGCTATCCAGGCTTCATTTAGACAACTGGTAATGGATTATGTAAATTTCAGTTACAATGAAAGTGGAAATTTAAACTTTACCAAATATAGTAAAGAGAAGAGGTAGAATAATAAATACTATAAGCCTGAATCTTTTTTAGTTATAAAAATGCTTTAAGTGCATAATATTTAATTTCATTGAGGTATTTCCTCATTCACTATTGTAAAATCAGGTAGAAACATTTCCCAAACTAACAATATTTACTTAACCCCAGGCTAAAAAGAATTTTACCTGTAGTAAACTCGAAGGGTCTGGATTTCCTCTTCCAGTTTTTTGTACTGTTGAACTGCAGTTTCTCTGGCTTGTTGCATAGATAACAACTTTGCCTAAAAGTAATTAATATTTTAAGAAATTCAGTATTCATTTTGGTATGATAAAATACAGTACCACGGTAAGAACAGTAGTCTTAAATTACTGACAGTTAAAAAAAAAAACCTATGAATGTTTTTAGCAGTGTCTCATAAGTTACCAGAAAATAGTCTAAAGGCATTAATAATACAAACACTAAAAACTTGAACATATTAAATTTAGCAATCTTGCTCATTACTAAACTTCAACCTTATTTATCTGTACCATCAGATATATGCCCTTCTGCAATGTTTAACTTTATACACAGAATTCAGAAAGTGGAACATGGGTTTCAGAGCAATATCTACAGTAGAGATAAGTACAATGGGTGTTTCACATACAAATTTAATGTGGCTCCACTGCCTGAACATACTAGATTTTCTTTTAACTTTATTAATAGTAAAACTCAGAAAATTCTAAATATGTTGTCAAGCCATCTTTGATATTGAATGTGAAAAAAATACAGCAGGCTACAGACTGATTCTTACAGTTATGATTTAACCTTTTCAATTCCTTCTCTGTGGGAGAAAAACAAATCCCGAAAGGGGAGAACGGCAGCAACCGTAAATGCTAGTGATACTTTATTAAAGGGGCATTATTGTTCCTTCCTGCTATAATTTTTGAGTTTTAAAGAACAGGTAATCAGTTTTTTTCAATGAGGTTCAACGTAGTAATTTAAAAAGAATTTGCCACCCTCCCACCATCATTCCCATAGGATTTCAAACAACACCAAAAACAGTTTTCAAGTAACTTTGAAAATCTGGCACTGGTAAGTCAGGTTTTAGTATTGTTTATTCAAAGTTAAATTTTCATAAAATGGTTATCTTTCACTTTGCTTTAAATGGTGTTTGAAAGGTAACACAGAGCAAATTGTTGTCACAAACCTCACAAAGTAGGACACCACCAACAATTAAAAAGTAATAGAAAGTTTGGAGCCACAGGTTCAGAATTTTGCTGAATTCATATAATTTCAATGGAATTATTTTATTGTATAAGAAGTCATAAGAAAAATTGTAAAACCCTGATTATAGGAAAATTAATCAATGTAATAAAAGTGAACTTTACAGAATGCTACTTTTCTATTTTGATAATAATTTTAAAAGCATGCAGCAGTTTGGACCTTTGCATGTAAGTTTTAGCATTAAGATTAATCTGTTCTCTGAACTGGTAAATTCTATCCAAGTGTTACTTTATAGTTAAATTTAAGATGTTTGAATGCGTGCTTTAACATGACATAGTCCATAATTAGAGATAAAACATTCTAAAAAACTAGGGAAAAGCATCTAAAGTAAAAATAGATGGCTGATTCTTAACGTCAAAGAATGCAAGCTTTTCCAATTTTCAGTATACCATAAAATGTGATTAAAATGGTAACTTAGAAGACACAGATACCCACTGTGACTAATGGCAGGTCAAAAAGAATCAAAAATATCACATTCAACTTTAAAAACTTCAGACTTCAGACATGCATTTAAGGAATATCAAATACTGAACGGGTAATAGAGATTTTACTAAATAAATATGTGCCAGTGCTACGTATGTACAAATGCTGAAATAAAATGATTGTTTTGAAGTCTTTTACTTGGTACCTGTGCACAGAAAACAAAACCAAAACCAACCAACAAAACAAAAATTCTTGTAGGAAAACACTGAAATGTAGTTTTTGCCTAGAAATTTTCATAATGAAAATGGGACTGTGATAAATTTAAATTCCCATGCTTAAGGTACTATTGAAAATTTCACTTTCTCCTCCCACACTTAGTTGACTATGAAGACTTGGTTGCTTTATAACAGTTCACTCAATTCACTCAATTTCTTAATTCCCAGTATCTAATTTTTTTCCTAGGCCCTAGTGATTATGTTCAAAGCTATTATAAACTTTCTGGCTTTACGATATCCTTACTTTATCAGATATATGCTTATCCAGCAGCATTTCTTTTTTCAGAAATACCCTTATCCTATGCTACAGTGATCTTGTTCAGTCTCTGTGGCTACAATGAACTTCATCCCCCATCACCTCGGGTATAAGATCCAGGTTGTCTAATTGAAGTACTGCATCCCACTAGCCTCAGAAGAAAACCAAGTCCTGATGATATCATTTCTACTCTTGGATTCACATATGCCAGAAAACAGATCCAGATCTGCTTCCTGGACTTCCAGGGTAGATAAATCCTTTGTTGGGGGGTAAGTTGGAGGGTGACTTAGGCTAGTCTGAGTTGGGTATCTGTTGCATGCATTGTTGAAACACTCAACCAATTTAAATGTGCTCTTTACTTCTATAGTATTTCCTAGATTGATATTTATATCATATAATCCTATCATACTATATGTCAAAAATAAGTCTCTTATCAAAAATATCAAGGAAATTAACAAACAAGATATTTTTCCTGTTTTTCTTTCAGGCATCCTATTCCCATATTTCTGGCAATTACTTTTATAAAAACTGCATGCATTCATTTACGTGTATACTTGCAAAAATAAATGCATGCATTAAACAAAAACTAACAAAACTCAGTGTAAGAGAATATACAATGTAAAGTAAATCTCCCACCTCCTACCCTCAGTACTACAAATCCCTTCTCCTGAGACTACTAGTTATCTGTCCATTGTACCTCCTTCCAGAGATAGTCTGTACATATATAAGCATATATAGATACTTGCAAATAAATTACCCTGATTTACAAAATTGATAGCGCTTTATACACACTGTTATACACACCTTGCTTTTTTTTTTTTCAAAAATTGCTATTTTGCGTCACATAAAAAAAAAATTCAGCCAGGTACAGTGGCTCATGCCTATATGGTAGCTCATGCCTCATTTCCCAGTGCTTTGGCAAGCTAAGGTGGGAGGATTACTTCAGCCCAGGAGGTTGAGATCAGCCTGGACAACATAGCAAGACCTCATCTCCACAAAAATTTTTAAAATTAGCTGGGTGGGCTGGCATGCACCTATAGACCCAGCTACTCAGAAGGCTGAGGCAGGAGGATTGCTTGAGCCCAGGAATTCAAGGCTTCAGTGAGCTAGGATCACACCATTGCACTCCAGCCTGGTCGACAAAGTGAGACCCTGTCTCTAAAAAAGAAAAAAAAAAATCCCCTACCCCATTCCACGTATCACACTCATCAGTCACATCCCTTTCTTCCTTCCCAGCGCCAAAGAAAACACTTCTATGAATTTGGGTTCATTATTTACAAGTATATTTTATACTTTTACTATAGTATAAACATTTTACACAAGTATAACACTTTTTCTTCTTATACTCATATTTTAGGTAAAATTTTATCAAAGTAAACATATATGCAAGTAAGTACACATATGGATTTTTCAATGTCAGACTTATTGAGTCATAATTTATATAAGGTAAAGATTTACCCATTTTCACTATATAGTTCTGTAAATTTTGACAAAGTTATCCAGTCTTGACACAGAATATTCTTGTTACCCCCAAATGGTCCTTGTGCAACATTGGAGTCAATGCCTTCTTTTCACACTCAGCCTCTGGCAATCAGTGATGTGATTTTTGTCCCTACAGTTTTTCCTTTTTAAGAATGTCATATAAATAGAATCACACAGTATGCAGTCTTTTGAGTCTAGCTTCTTTTACCTAAACATAATTTTTTGAGATTCATCCATATTATTTCATGTACTGGTAGTTTATTCTTTTATACCACTGAGTAGTATTCAATTGTATGAATGTATCACAATCTGTACATCCACTTACCTGTTAGACATTTGGCTGATTTCTAGTTCTTTGGCAATTACTAATAAAGCTGCTATAAATATCGACATAGAGGTCATTTTTGTGGAAATATAACTTTGTTTCTCTTGGGTAAATACCTAAGAGTGAAATTGCTGAGTCCTGTGGTAAGTGTGCATTTACACTATATATAGATATATATAGCTATATAAAGTTTTATATGGATAATAAAGTTATATACTTTATTTTAAAATGCCCAAACTTTCTGCCTATAATGATATCGCTTTAAAACATCCAAGCTTAACTACAAATCAATGCCACTTTTTGACCACCTACTATCAGTTAGGCATTCTTTCGAGTGTTTAAAATATATTACTATATTCTATTCTCATAACCAACCTATGAGGTAGTTCCTATTATCCCTATTTTGCAAGATATAAAACATAGGTTCATAAAGCTTAAGTAATTTCTAATTATAACAGAGCTAGTGAACTCAAATAGAAATTCAGACCCATTTGTTCCAAAATACATATTTTCTTTTTATACCACTGTATACATTATATATAAATTACATAATTCCAGGTGACATAATGGAATCAAATGATCATTTGATAACAGAGTTAATGACAATAATCAAAGTTCACAGAATAATCAGAGTGTATTTTATTATACCTTACGTGATTGAAAAATGGGTTGGTTAACTAAGGTTAGTCTTATAGTTACCTATCTTGATATCAGTCTTGACCAATGCCATCTAAATAGGACAGCCATTTGTGTTGGGACTGTATCAGAAATGAACTACATTGTTTCACTGGAGCTTAATCTAGTAACTCAGAATGACAAAGAAAAGACCACACTGTTCACATCACTAAGCGCTATTCTTAACCAGTATTGTGGATAAACCACTTTTATCTCTCCTTGAGATCTTGTTATGTTTGGTTTAAATGTGTTTTTAATAGTTATAGTCTGATACAGTTAAGCCTTGTTTTAGTAACTCCAAGACCATGAATGGAAATTGGTTTTTATCTTAGAACAGAGACATCTGATGTTATGTGTGATATCTGCTAAATAAAGAAGCATACAGTACAAATTAAATCACAGAAGCAAATAATTTTAGACTTGGAAAGGATCTCAGAGGTAATACGGAACCTTACTTTTATAGAGGAGGAAATTGTTGCTAATACAACATGTTCAGGGAAACATTTGGAAATTGTCCAAGGTTTCATAGATGGTTAGAAAGAAAGTTGGAACTAACAAGTATCCAGAAAACATTGCTTATTTTACCATAGAAGACCACATTTCAATATGGTATAATTTAATATGTGTGATAGTTATTTTAATAGAGTTATTTCCAGAGTAACCATAAATATATATGATTAAGCTAGCACTATTAAACACATCTATAAAATATATAATTGGGTATCTTCAAACAATACATCAAGTTAGATGATTTCTCAAAGAACATGACCATAGACCTACTAGGATTTTAATTTTTAACCTCAGAAGAAGGTTAAGAACCTAGTAAAAAGAAACATAACTAAGTAACTTGTGTAACGATACCCAAAAAGTTAAAAGCTATTTTCAAAAGGATAAAAATGACCAGGTTTCAATTAAACCTCCACTTCACAGGAAGGCTTGGATTGCTTACCATTGTGTATTTCCATAGTATATTGTTCCCTACAGCTGATTCCTTAGAGGTTGTTCTATTTTGTCCTGATGTCATGTCTCTCTGTTTATCAGACCAGAGATAATGAGGTTCCTCAGTCAAAAGTAGTCATATATACACTGTCGAGTGATATATGAGATAGTCTGACATGATGAGAGAGAGAAGAAAAGAGTTTGTGGTGGAAGCAGAACTCAAAACATTCACAGGCAGAAACTGATTCATGGGCAGTGAGCAGAAGCCATGGAGGAGAGAAAGGCAGGGGAGAGAGATGTATGCCAGAAAGACAGTGCAGCAATGGTGATTAAAAGCATAGTCTATGGAACCAGAAAGGCTGGGGTCCCACCCTGCCTTCACCACTTACAAACTCCCCTATCTTGGCAAGTTAGCAAATCTTTATGTGCCTCAACTTCCTCACCTACAAAATGGGGTAACTGTACTTTATATCTTAGAGGGCTGATGTTAGGAAGAACTAAGTTAAAATCTGTAAAACGTAACAGTGCCTGGGACATAGTAAATGCTTTAATAAGTGATTATTAAATAAACAGTAGGAAAACAAAAACTAGCTGGATCGCTCAGCAGATGAAGAAGCAGAAGATGTGCTGCAAAACAAGTAAAGAAAATAAAATCTAGTGTGGATCTAGCTGGTACCCTGAAAACCTTTCCACATAATGAAAGATGTCCAAGTCCCTGAGAGGTCTTGCTGTTTACGGTCTTCCTCATGATTCTATCTTCAGCAGAAAGTCTTGTTGACCAAGGTAACTAGGAGAGTTTTCTTTTTCTTTGTCATAGATCATGTAATTTTCCTTCCCAACAAAATTAGTACAGTCACACACAGAATAACAACGCTTTGGTCAACAACGGACCACATATAAGACTATAGTTCCATAAGAATACAACACCTATATTTTTACTGTACTTTTTCTATGTGTAGACATGTTTAGATACATAAATACTTGCTGCTGTGTCACAGCTGAACATGTTGTACAGGTTTGTAGCCTAGGAGCAATAGGCTACACCATATAACCTAGGTGTGTAGTAGGCTATACTACCTAGGTTTGTGTAAATACACTCTATTATGCCCATACAATGATGAAATCACCTAAGGATACATTTCTCAAAATGTATCCCCACTGTAAGTGATACATGACTGTATACAAAATGTCATATTCCTCAAGAATCTCCTTTTACTGTATGTCATAGGATTTCAATGATCACCTGTAAAAAGAGAATACATTTTAAAGACTTGATTTTAATATTTTTTGTTAAGTATAGTTTAAGTTGAATTCTCTTTATCATTAACAACCAATACCAGAATTTATAATACTTTAAATATGTATAGTGATGTGTGACGTATAAGACTTATACTATATTATCTAATTTCAGATAGTAGGAGCTTGAATACTTTCAAGTATGAATGAATGAATAAATGCTATTTCTATTGTTTTAGAAGAGAGGAAAATAAAAGAGAGATTATCAACTACTTAGATTCTCTCTTAATAAGGGGGCAAATCCTGGTCTTCTTTCAAGTCCTAACAATATGGTACTACAGTTATACATAGACACAGCAAAATAGGAAGACATGCCAGACACTATTCTAAGTGCATTCTATATTCATATTATCATTTCTCACAAGATATTGTATAGTAGCTACTATTACTATTCTATTATGTAGATGAGGAAAATGTTACATCACTTACTTGTCAGCCAGTTAATGAATGGTGGAGCAAGGGTTTGAACTCAGGAATTATGGCCCAAGTCTCTCCTTTTAACTACTATGCTATAAATACTAGACAAAATTTGGTGCTTTAAAAAATCTGTGCTAATTTTTTTTTTTTTTTTTGAGACAGAGTCTCGCTCTGTCGCCCAGGCTGGAGTGCAGTGACGCAATCTCGGCTCACTGCAAGCTCCGCCTCCCAGGTTCACGCCATTCTCCGGCCTCAGCCTCCCGAGTAGCTGGGACTACAGGCGCCCGCCACCACGCCTGGCTAATTTTTTGTATTTTTTTTTTTAGTAGAGACAGGGGTTTCACCGTGTTAGCCAGGATGGTCTCGATCTCCTGACCTCGTGATCCGCCTGCCTCGGCCTCCCAAAGTGCTGGGATTATAGGCGTGAGCCACCATGCCCGGCCAAAATCTGTGCTAATTTTTATCAGTGAATTATATTATCTAATTTGATTTAAATAAATTGGTACAAGAATTATTTTTTTAAACATAACTCATATAGTTTATTTTAAGATGCCATCCAAACCTTTCCTGGAGGCACATATATAGTTTTTGGATGTTAGTCCATTTAGTGACAAAAGGTCATCTATGGTGTTTCCCTCAACTTTACAGACCCCTGGCAAAAAAGTAGTATTACAGCTTCTCAGAAATATTAGTAATAGTATATAATTTATTTTTAAGGAATAATAATGATAAGGATTTCTCTCTACTGCAATAACTAACTCCCAAAGAAGACTACTCTGTTTTGGGGGCAGGGGTGGCACAAGTTTCCAAGCATTTATCCATTTACACATATGCAGGTAAGGTAAAGGGAAAAAAAATCTCTGCTGGATCTAGCAATGATTCAGCAAGTGTTCATTCTGCTTGTTTTACAAGTGTGTTTTTAAGACACTATTCTCAGTCAACTAGCCTGAGTTCCATTCCTGTGCTTGTTTCCTAGTACTTGGCTTAATCTTGAATCCAGACCTGTGCCTGTTTACTTGGATTCGGTTTCTGCCTAAATTTATACCCTCCAAAGTATTGTATCACTTTGGCTTTTTCAAAACACCAAATAGTAAGATATAGAGGCATAAACATGTAATTGTGCTTCTATATCAGCAAAAACAAAGAAGAAACCTTGAAGCAGTAAAAGGTAAATGATTATTTAAAAGGGATTCTCAATAAGATTAACAGTGAATTTCTTATAAGAAACCATGGAGGCCAGGGGCAGTAAGATGGAATATTTGAAGTAATGAGAGAAAAGACATGAAGAGATATTTCACAAGGGAAGATATCTACATGGCTGACAAACATGATACACATGCTCAACATCACTAGTTTTCAGGGACATAAGATTTAAATTCCAATATGCTGTCACTTCACCCACAATTGAAGAGGTAAAATTACAATGACTAATAATAGTAGGATATACTGGCTAAGATGTAAAATGACTAGAAATCTCTTACATTTTGGGTGGGTGTATAAATTAGTTTCATGCCTTTAGGAAATGTTTGGACTATTGATAATGGATGGCCTATTATGAAAATATGTCATTCACTAAACTGGGAGAAGTCAACTTATCTTTTCTCAAGTATTATGGGTATTATTAAAGATTATATTATGTTAGATTTGATTTTTAATAAAGTCATTAAAATTATATAGGTTAATAATCCTTTATTCACAATACAAAAACTCCAACACTTCTGAAAACAAAAAAGAACTTTAAAAAAATTTTTGGTACTGAAATCAATTGATGTTAAACCTAGGTAAACTGATGTAAAGCTATTTATGGTCTTCCTTTATCTCACTAATTGTAAATATTTACATTTTGTTGCAGAAATACTGTGTTTGGTTAGTTTTTAACTTATATTTGACTCCCCCGCATTGTTGCAGGCCTTTGAAAAGCCCGTAGCCTTGAGGCACTACGTTTATGGGATAAAACAGCCTAGTAAAAAAGCCTTTTAAACTAAGGTGTCTTAGGAACTGCCTTGTTTCCCAATCCCTCACTCCAACCAGATGTTGCTACTTGATTCTACCTGTGGTCTCATGCCCACATGTAATCTGGGAGGAGATCTTATCCTGGGCATAACAGGCAGAATAATGTCTCCCAAAGTGGCCCACATCCTATTCCCCAGAACCTGTGAATATGTTAGGTTATATGAAAAGAGGAGAATTAAGGTTGCAGGTGGAATTAAAGTTGCTAATCAGGTGACCCTGAGATGAAGATTACCCTGGATTATCTGGGTAAACCCAATGTAGTCACAAGTATCCTTTTAAGTGGAAGAGGGAGGCAAAGAATAAGAACCAGAGAGATGGGAGTGTAGGAAAGATTAAACTGGCCATTGCTCACCTTGAAGATGAAAGGGGGCCACAAGCCAAGGAACATGGATAGCTTCTAGAAGCTGGAAAACTTGAGACAAGTTTAGGCATATCTTCTCACTTTCTTTATGGAGTTCTTTTTCTGCTATTGCTATTTGTTTCAATATTTACATTAACATTTATATTTAAATGATTATTTAATACTATTAAAATAATACATTAATATTTATATTCCTTTTTAAACTATGAGCTCCTTGAGAGTTGTAACTACACACATATGCACGCTTTTATACATGGTACAAATAAAGATGTGTATTAAGTATTTGATAATATTGAAGTTAGTATAAACCATTCATGCTGGCATTTAAGGCCTTCCACAATGTGGCATTGAACTCTCTTTTATTCCTTCACACTCACTTTAGCCAAGGACCTGCCATAAATTCTGCCTAATTGTAATATTCCCTCCACCTAGAACACCAAATCTATGCCATGCTATCAAATCTACATCAATCCTTCAAGCCCCATTTTAATTATTACTTCTTACATAAAGTCCTTTCTTGATTATCTTCCCCACTCCAGAAAATTTTTCACCTGCTAAATCCTTAGTAATATTTTTTAAATTTTATTTTATTTTACATGAATGTTTCATTGAAGTATAATATACAAACAGAAAAGTTCAGGGCTCAATGAATTTTCATGAAGTGAACACACCTGTTTAACAGGAAACTAGATAAATAAATAGAATTATTTCCATCACCCTCACATATCCTCATGCTTCTACCTAATCTTCACCTTCACTAAAGGTAACCATCATCTTGACTTCTACTGTCATAGATCAGTTGTGCCTGTTATTGAAACTTATATCAATACAATAATATAATATATATTCTTTTCTGTTTTTTTGCTCAACATTAATCTTGTGAGATTCACCCATGTTGTTTCTTGTTCCTTATTGTATACAATTATAATTGCTGTACAGTATATAATGAACATAAATATACCACAATTTATTTATCTATTCCATTCCAATGATAAACCTTTGGGTTGTTTTTGCCTTAGTGATTTTTAAAGCCTTTTTTTTATGACAACTATCTCAACCTACCTTACACCACAGTTATTTACATACATACGTGTCAAGGTAGGGACTATATAGTAGTCCCAAAACATGAATACAATGCTCAGCACATACCAGATATTGGTAGATATTGTTGAAGTATAGTATTACATATTATGTCACAATTAAAACAGATTAGTATTTCACATTTCCAAAGAGCTTCCACATACATTGTTTCATTTGAGATGATACGAGGTAATACCATGAGGTGGTTAAGAGCAAGGTCTTTGGAGTTAAGCAAGCTTGGGTTAGGCTACCAGGAATCAGCTCTATGACTGAACAAGTTAAGGCTTCTGAACCTAAATTTTCTCATTGGTAGCATGAAAGTGATAATATCCATCTCACAGGATTATTATGCAATGATAAAAAGAGATAACTTACTATCTCATATAGCCATATCAAAGTGAATATGTAAGCTATATAAGAGGCACAATTGAACCTTTGATGTGATATTATTATGAAGTAACTGATGTCTGTAAGGAACAGCACTCTACTAAGTGATAGGCGAATAAGGTGAGAAAGGACTTAGCTTAAACTATAAGTTCAAGCCATGTGGTAGTCTAGACTAGGACCATAAAATAAATTATTAAGGACCATAAAATAAATATTTTAGGCTTGTGGGCCACGCAGTCTCTAGGACAAGAAACAACTGCTATTGTAACAAGAAAGTAGCCATAGACAATATGTAAATGAACAGATGTGGCTGTGTTCCAATAAAATTTTATTTACAAAAACAGGCAGCTGGTCCAGAGGCCATAGTTTACCAACCATAGAGAACTAGAGTGGCCACAGGTTTACATACTACCCAGAATCTCTGATGATCTTTATAAGCTTTTGGTTAGTTGCCAGATACCTGAGAACATGAGGAATGGAAAAACTGAGCACATTTTCAATACGCTTGTCCTGTCTAGAATGAACATATTTCTAGGGACAATGAAAGAAAATATCTAAAATACACGCTTTTCTAGAACAGGTTCTTTAGAGTAAATAATGGTAGAATGAGGAAAAAAGAAATTCATAGTGGTTGTGTGAAAGAAATCATGTGTTGTGTAACATCACTGCATTGCAACAGGAAACCATTCTGTCAGGGAGACATGACTTCAGCTATTAAATATAATGCAAAATAAACAAAATGTTAAGACCTCATAGCTTCAAATTGTATTTGATGTTAATATAGCTATAACAGCATTCTTTTGAATAGTGTTTGTCTGATATGCTTTTTATATTTTTTAAATTTCAATCTATTTTATATGCCTAGGTTTAGATGTGACTCCTGTAAACAGCATATTTTCTCCAGTTAAACAATCTTTGTTTTTAAATGGAACATTTGATCCTTTGACATTTAAAGAAATTTCCAATAAATTTGTCTTTAAATCTATCATCTTGTTGTATGCTTTCTACTTTCCTCGCTAGTTCTATGTTATATTTTTAAAATAAAAAAATATGCTAACTTTTGAATTGATTCATTTATTATCATCCCATTTCCCCCTATTTACTTCTGAATGCCATACATTCATTTTCTATTCTTTTAACGGTTACCTCAGAAATTACAAGATATAGCTTGGCTTATCAAAAATTTAATATTAATACTCTTGGACAATAAGAGGACCTTAAAATCCTTTAACTCTATTTACTTGCCTCCTAATTTATTTGCTATTTTTAAAATGTATTTTAATTCTTTTTACATAGTTTTAAACCACCCAAAATATTACTATTTTGTTGACCGAATATTCATTTATATTAGTCACTTTTCTTTTGTGTTCCGATTCCTTCCTGGTTGGGAGGTTCCTTATAGAACCATGTACCTGTGTCTAAACAACAGCTCCTGGAAGTTTCTTTAATACAATTCTGAAATTGTAAAAATTCAGTTTTTAGTTGTCTGAAAATGTCTTTATTTCATATTCATTCTTGAGGGTTATTCATGTTGGGTATGTAATTTTAAACAGGCAGTTATTTTCTTTTTTTAAATTTTATTATTATTATACTTTAAGTTTTAGGGTACATGTGCACGACGTGCAGGTTTGTTACATATCTATACATGTGCCATGCTGGTATGCTGCACCCATTAACTCGTCATCAGTTATTTTCTTTTGTATATTTAAAGCATTATTCTAATGTCTCCTGAATTCCACAGTTCTATGTAGAGGTCATCTTCAAGTCTAATTGTTGCTCATTTGAAAGGAATCTGTATTTTTCCTTTGGCTGGCTACTTTTATAATTTTATGTTAGAATGCTAGATGTTTAGAATTCCTTCATGTTAGAATTCCTCAATTTGATTATGGTGTGATTGGGTTTAGATTTCTTATCTTGCTGTGGATAGATATCTTCCATTAGTTTTAGAAAAATCTCAGTCATTTTCAGTTCTAATGATGCTTTTCCTGGATCGCCTGTATTCTCTCCTTTTCGGAGCCCAATTAAATGCTTGTTGAACCATCTCACTGTAAATCTCTTAATATTTGATTCATCCATCTGTGTTGAACTATGGGTAATTTTTTAGATATATTCCAACTTATATGTCTTCTAATGTATGAATTATAATAATTATTATTTTGAGACAGAGTCTTGCTCTGTCGCCAGGCTGGAGTGCAGTAATGCGATCTCGGCTCACTGCAACCTCTGCCTCCCAGGTTCAAGACATTCTCCTGCATCAGCCTCCCAAGTAGCTGGGACTACAGGCGTGTGCCACCACACCCAGCTAATTTTTGTATTTTTATAAGAGACGGGGTTTCACCATGTTGGCCAGAATGGTCTTGATCTCTTGACCTCGTGATTCACCAGCGGTGGCCTCCCAAAGTGCTGGGATTACAGGTGTGAGCCACTGCGCCCAGCCACAAATTATTTTTTTGGCTGTGTATAATCTGATGGTCAATGTCTCACAGAGTGTTTTAGTTCTAAATAATTTTTTTGTCTTTTTTTGTAAGAACTTGCAACTTTTTTTTTTCCAGATTTGCCTAATGTTTCCTAGAAAGCACCTGTGGATAACTCAGGGTTGTGGTTCATACTCTATTTATTTAAATATCATTTAAGCATTTCATACATAGCTACTTATATTCTTTAGATGACTTTATTGTTTGTTTTTGTTGTGTTGTGTCTGCTGTCACTCATGATGGTTTTCTTCCTGATGTGCTTGATTGATCTTTAACTTTGAAATCATATTTTCCTGATAATAATCTTGGGAATCCTGCTGGACTAAACTGGGGGTGCCTTCCTCCAAGGAGTACTTGTGTCTGTTCCATGAGGGAGCCAAGAGAGGCCTGAAATAATGCAGGAGTTTCTGGTTCAGCTCCCTAGCCTTGCTGCTTATCAAGGATTGGGACCAAAATGAAGATACAAAATATTCCTATAGATGTGTTTTCTTAGCGCAGCTGTGGCCCTTCTGTGTGCTTATCATGGGGAAGGGGGTTGCCTCTGGTTCAACTCTCATTTTTTGGTGAAGTAAAATCTTTACACATTTCATCTACTTTTTGTGAAACCAGCAATGCTGGCATGGATGAAACTGTTTCATCCAGGACCTAGCAGTTTAGCAACAGGAGGGTCCCTGCAGTATCTGCCTGCCACACGGTAGGAAGCAGAAGTCTATGTTGAAAGTTAACACATATCACAACCATCAAAAATAGATGAAACTGTTTATAATTCTCACATTTGGTAGATTAGCTTGGTTTATGTATTTATTTAAATAATTTTCCTGACTTTTTTTGTTTTGTTTTGAGACAGGGTCTCCCTCTGACACCCAGGCTGCAGTGTAGTGGTGCAATCTCAACTCACTGCAGCCTCGACCACTGGGGCTCAACGATCCTGCAACCTCAGCCTCCTGGGTAGCCGGGACTATAGGTACATGCCACCACACCCAACTAATTTTTGTAATTTTTGTTGAGATGGGGTTTCACCATGTTGGCCAGGCTGGTCTCGAACTACTGGGCTCAAGTGACCTGCCTGCCTTGACCTCCCAAAGTACTGAGACTACAGGTGTGAGCCACTGCACCTGACCTTGTTTTTAAATAAAAAGTACACAACAAGCAAAGTTTCAGATTGACATTTTCAAGTATTTAATGTGGGGTTTTCTAGGCTAAAATAAAAATATATGAAAAGTAAAATAAAATTTTGGATATAATCACTCTAATAATATTGTTTTCTCTTAACATTGTTTTTTAGAAATACTAGGAGAGTTGAGTGTGGTGGCTCACGCCAGTGTTCCCAACACTTTGGGAGACTGAGGCAGGAGGACCATTTGAGGCCAGGAGTTTAGACCAGCCCAGGCAACATAGTAAGAGCCTGTCTCCACAAAAAATAAAAAATAAAATAAATAAATAAATAAAAAATTAGCCAGGCGTGGTGGTGCACACCTGTAGTTTCAGTTCCACAGGAGGCTGAGGCAGGAGTACTGCTTGAGTCCTGGAGTTCCAGGTTGCAGTGAGCCATGATTACACCACTGTACTCCAGCCTGAGTGACAGAGTGAGACCTTGTCTCCAAAAAAAAAAAAAAAAAAAAAGAAGAAGAAGAAGAAAGAAAAGAAAAAATAAAGCATACTGGGAGATATAAAGATTGGTTAGATAAGAATTTTGATTAAATGATTAAGAATAGTACAAGGTAAATTTCCAATATTATCACTTTTAAGCTCAGTATTACCTGTGTGACAATATCCTTCCTGTCTAAACAATGGTCTCTCATGTACTACATTAAACACTACATAATAATTATTTAAATAAGAACTATTTAAAGCAGTTTAATCACTAAAGCAGCTGGTGTGGTTCAGTTGAGTGGTGTGTGTTATAAGTCTCTGATATCCAATAACGGCCACATATTCTAACTTACACATAGTTAGAGGTTATCATAGTGTCACTCTTTAAAAGGTAAATATGACTAATTATATAATTGATAAAATGTTCAAAAATAGAAATTGAAATATTCCTCCCAACTGCCTTTGACAATGTGAATCCTTTAGGGAAACAAATCCATGGTGTAGGAAAACCATTCACTAGGAAATGATCTATTTAAACACTCAGTGTTTAAAGTTATATAGAAAGGTCAGTGGCAGAACCAGAATTAGACTTTGGATTAGTAGTGAGTCTATCTATGCATTAACTACTCTCCCAACTTCTCTGACCTCAAATGTGCCACTATATACTATTGTCATTAACTCCAGAGGTGACACTGTTTAGTCCAATTTTTAGCTCTTGTCCATTTACTATCATTTATTTTAACAACTCTATATTTTTATTTTTAGTGTCTGATATAATTTACTTAAGCCTTTTGCAATTTAAAATATTTGTCTTGAACCATTTCTTAGTGCATTAATTTAGACTGTAGAGACTTTATCTTTTCTTTGTAACTTTTAAGTTGAAAGAACCCTAATTCAAAAGATACTAAAATCGTAAATCTGTTGCTAGTTAGATGCCCGTTACTTTACTTAAATACTGAGACTTCTTGACTCCAACTCTGAAAGCCACTCTTACCTATATGTAAAAACCACTGACTATTTCACTGGTTTCACTAGTAGTCTATTCATCATTTAATGAGATTTACCACTTTTAATGTCTAGAACAGAGACTAATCACATAGTATTTAATGGTCTTCAGAAAATATCTATTAAATTATTGAATTTTCATCTACCAAGCCAACTGTTCTTGAGGTCATTTTCTCAGGAAATAAAAACAAATTACGCACAAGAAAATACTTAAAGCATCAGATGGAATGTGGGTTCCTCAAAAAAGTCCACTCTCCTTTTTCATGGCATGATACATTCCTTTCACTAAGCTCTCTGGTACTACCTAAGAACATGAGCACACAGAGAAAATTAAATTCTTATTTAAACTCAAGAAGCAAACATTTCTCAAAATGACACTATTTCCCTCCTTTACACTTGAGTCGTAAACATTTCTCTACATGCCAGTGCCCTTTTATTTAGTTAGAATTTTAGCAAGCAGTATTTTGTTTATTTGTTCAGGATCGTGTATGTTTTTTCACTACATCTACAGTACACTTCATCACCTGAACACATGCTGAACCAAACTTGTCTTGCCAGCAAAAAATTTTGAAATTATGCAATCTGCAATTCAGTCCATGACAAGCACCTGGGTAGAATTTCTTCTATACCATTTCAACATCAATTAAAGAACTGCCTGCATAGAAATATTGCCAAATGAAAAGTTAGTGAAGCAGGTTTAATCAAGTGAACTTGTCTATCATTTTAGCTAAGGACTTGCTGGATACTCAAATAAGCACCATAATAATTGTCTATCAAATTAACCATAAAATTATTCTAAAATTTTATGAATGTATTAAAAGGAAAATCAGTATGATTATGTTATCTTTAATTAATACAAACACATTTTTCATTCATCAAAAAGTTTTTTAGGTGCATAGGCTATAAAGAAAGTATAAAAGAATATGAAAATGACTTGAAAAAACAGCCATGAAAACTGAAAAAAAAAAAACTCTTAAAAAAGGAAAATATTTTAATCAATATTGTTTTACAAGGAAACTTTTTAAATTGGAGAAAAATTAGCAAAATTTTTGGCATGTACACATTAATTCATATCTAGCAAAGAATTATAACTGCAGAAACACATTAAGATTTATAATCAAGGCTATATGAAAGACTTTTTTTTTACTGAAACAGTTCACAATTAAATGAAAGTACTAAAAGTATTCAAATAAAAGAAATATTAATTTATAAGTCTCTCATTTATGAACAGTTTTATTCAGGTGTCCATGTCCAAGCCAGCAAATATCTTATTCATTTATTATAAAAATAAACAAGAAATTATCAAAGTTATCTAATTTAAAAGCAACTTTTTAAAAAGACCAAACCACATTTTAACGTAAAATAAACCAAGCAAGATTTCACAAATACACTAAGTTTTCTTAAACACTTTTAGTTGGCATATAGACATTAAAACGAGTAAACTGAAGTTTTTAAGAGATGACAATTAAAATGGTTTTTAACCAAAGGAAGAGGCTTTGATGAACCTGACTTCATTTATGTTAATCACATATGCAGTAATTTAAACAAAAATTCTGTATATGAATGTGGAAATTATTTGGGAGTAGTGTCTAAGCATGTGAAAAGCATAAGAAAAAAGAATCCCCTGTTTCCTTTTGGATGCTTCAGACAACAGCAGCACAGCCTAGGGCACACTGCTGCGGATTTTAACTGTTGTATAGAACTACTCAAAATGCTTTTGATCCATTTTATCTTGCAAGTTAGCAAAGAAATGTTGCAATAAGAAACACCAACAAAGATCTAAAAAAGTTAAGCTCTGGATTACCATATTGTGTTCTCCTGCCATTCAATGCTTCATACAAAGGCAGTGGTGTTCAAAGTAAGAAAAAAAAAGTGAGGAGAGAGAAAAAAGAGAAACTGGTTTCAGAAAGTGCAAAGCACAAAGTAAATAATATTCTTCTACATCCCTTCTTTTTCACAGATTGGATGTTAAAAGAGTTGCAGCAATTAGGCTTTTGTTAATTACCAGCTGTTGAAACAGATGTGTTGACTATCCTTATTAGTCAACAGCTGGGTAAGAAGAACAATTGATGCTCCCTAAAACCAACAGCCAGCTGCTCTGCAGTAATTATCTCCAATTATTAATACAGGTGATAAAGACAAAAAGCTCCTATCCTTCTCTTTCTGTAACTTTGACAGTTTCAGTAACTATAGCTTTATCATTACAAAGCAATAGAGAATGCATTTATTAAAACAAGTAACGGTGATATATTAGAGTGGCATTAAATCTATGGTAGTTTCCATTATGCAATTTCTGGAGAAGGAATCAGACAAGTGCTACAAGTAGAAGCAGACATTCTGCAGGCTTTTATTTATCATATTTCAAATGTCACTGCCAACTTACTTCTCCAGCACTAACAATAATAGCTAAGCACTTAAGTTCTTTGAAAAAGAGAAGCATAACTAAAATCTGTTCTTTCTGATTTCCAGGTGTTTTCACTGATCATGTTTTATATTCAGTTCACTGAAGCAATATATTTCCTCTTGGTATGACTAAATACCAGTGTCTTGTTCCCTAGCTTATATTTCCTAGGTGACTGGTAGAAGCAATTTTACTAAACCCAAAAAAGAATTTATTTCATTGCAGTAAACATTTCATGTATACAAAGAAATCAGCAAAACAAGCAAGCAAACAAAAAATAAAAACATTTTAGTTTGTAGACACCACTTTCTGAAATATAATATTCAAGTTTCTAATTATGAGGATGTTAAAAAAGAAATACCATGTTGGACCATACTGATAAAATACCATTAATTACATGTTTTTAAATTACTTTTATATTTCCTATTTTAAATATTCATCTTAAATTTTTACTAACAAGAAATGCAAAACAAAGATTTAGACAAGCCAGGAAAACCATCTCTGTCCTACAAAAGAGGTGTCTACAAGAATTTACAACCATATCTATTCACTAATTAGAGAACACTTAAAGACACTGCCTTTCTGAAAACAAGGATTAGAGCTGGATGAATGCACCCCTTTCACAAACCTTCCTCATGTCCCTGTTGGGTCATCACAAGCAGCTTGTTCTTCCAGCATTAAATAGAAAAGCCTACTGCTTATCAGTTTTTAACACCTCAGTTAGACATCAGGACAATTAACAGGGACAGAAACTGTAAATAACATGTAAATAAATCATTTCACCAAGAAAGGTTGTAATAAAAAACGATGAACAGAACCAAACTTTCTAAAGCAATACTACATAGGTTGCCACTAAAGTATTATGGGTGTCTGATATAAAAAATATTAGCCAGAGGCCAAGCACACTGGCTCATGCCTGTACTCCCAGCACTTTAGGAGGCCAAGGTGAGAGGATTGCTTGCAGCCAGGAGTTCAAAACCAGACTCTGCAAGACAGCGAGACTCCATCTCTACTTGAAAAAAAAAAAAAAAAAAAAAGCTAGAAACCTCTCTTATCACATTCTATGTAATTATGGCTCCTACAGTAGAAATTTCAACATTTACATAATTATAAAACAAAAGAGATAAGCACATTACCAAAACCAAAAAAAAATTATCCATCTCTATAAAACCAACCTCCCATGAGAATTTGTAATATTTAAGATTCTGTAATTTACAGGGAATCCTCTGATATATAGAAGCTAACAAAATGTGTAAACAGAGGAACAAAACATTAGAATTTATGTTTGAAAATCTCTATTAGGCCATATAATTATTCTGTGATTTCTCAATTTTAAAAAAAGATCTAACTTTCAGCATGGTAGCAGTGAGAGTAAATATCTTCCACCCTGATATTGGGAAGCCCTCCTTTCCCTTCGCACTAGGCAGGAATATTGGAAAAGTACACAAGCAATGTAACAGCTAATCGTGCTTCTCTCTCCTCTGTGGAAACGAACAGGTTGTGGCTACCGCCTAACAAGCCTACCCATCTTATATAACCATGCAGAGCAGCCATGGCTACTACTGAAGCAAGAGGGCTGCCCTCTCCTCATTAGATCCTAGGTGACCTAAACAGGGAAGGGAGAAGTGAAACCTGTTTCAAAGTCACAGTTCCTAAGCTCATTGCTGTTTAAAAATAAGCCAGGAAATCTATGTCTTCCTTCCTTTGGAAAAAACTAATGGCAATATATAATGAACATCTGATTGCTACACACAATTCTTCTAAATGCTGCCTTTTTGAAATTTAAAAATACTTAGGCCACAATTCCTCTAAAATTTAAAAATACTGGAACAAGACTCAAGCATTCAGAACTGCTTTCAATAGGCTGCACGTAAGATATCTCATTTTCACACCAATTTCAATGCATTTCAATTTAAGAATTTCACTGGATGGCTTAATTACCTGGGATAAACACCTGCATTTTCTCATCCATAACACAGATGCCCACTGTTCAGCATGCCTTTCCTATTTTGCTCATTGGCAGACTCATAAACATCCTCACAGCTAAGTCTTTCACATCTTTTTCCTATTTCATTTCAGCTTCTGCATACATCTATTATAGTACTGATCTAATTTTATATGCATTTTGGGGTACGTTTATCTCCCCAAAAGGTGGCAAATTTTTTCCTTTTCCTTCCTGTGTTTTCGGACTGTAGTACGTAAGCTTTCATTAAATGTTTTCAATAATAAATATAAATGTATACCTTAAAATCAGGAAGATGTCTTCAATAACTGTTCTGAAAGTACATTTTAATAAATCATGTGATATATAATCATATCACAGAAAGATATTTAGCTTTACCCAGCATGCATATCCCTATGAATAAGAAAATTCATTCTCTTAACGGAAATAATCATCTTTGCTTTACTGAATGTCATATTCAAGACACTAATTCCAGTTTTGCACCATCTCATAAGTGATATGCCCTATCAACAAAGGAAAAAATTTTAAAGCAAAAATAAGATTTTTAAACCTCTTCTATCCATACTCCTACTCCTATAGTGTATTTGGAATAATTTAAAACTGTAGTTCCATGCCATATTTTTTATTTCTTATTGTATGTAACATATTTTGAGAACTCTTCCTTAGCACACATCACAATTAAAGTTATCACTGCTTTAAATTTATCTATAAATTTTCAGATAGACTACCTTCCACTGATTCTTATACAATGTTTTATCCTCTTTGGATATCTGTTTTAATTTTCCTTTAGCTATAATACTTCTTCAAGTAATTCCTCCAGGAAGAATGAATGGGTATATTCATAGTCTTAATTGTTTTAAAAAAGTCTTTGTTTTGCCCTCCTCTATAAATGATATTTTGGCTAAATATAGGATCCTTAAATTGCAGTCTTTTCCTCTAAGATTTATAAACATAGTTGCACTGTCTTGTTTTCCAATATTGCAAGTCAGGAATTCTATGCTGCTGTGATGCTCTTTCTTTTGTAAATAATCAGCTCTATACAATTTTATAACAAATGTTATAAAGGTATAACATTTTCTCTTCACCATTAGTGTACAGATATTTTGCCTAGATATGTCTATATATTTAGCATATGTATATAAATTTACACGAGCAAAGATGTAATTTACTTATTCTACTCAGTCATTGCTATGGACTTTCATTTTGATAACTCAAGTTTTCCTTCAGCTCAAATGAGTTTTCTTCTATTATTTCTTTGAATAGGGTTTCTCTTACATTTACTCCTTTTGCTCCTGCACTTACTCCATTTTCCACAAATTATGTTTTGCTTCTGATCATTTCACTCCATTTCCTTGTGTTTTTCTTAGTGTTTCTCCCTTTGCTGTTCCAAATCATTATTTATATTTTTGTCCCTGATCACTGATATTAAAATCACCTATTATATTTTTTAACCAATGGTCATTTTTATCACTCCTTCAAAATATCTTTGGTTCTCTATAAGAAGTCTTATTTTTGCTTTTAACATTTTCTTCTCCTTTAAATAAAAAAGACTTAATTGGAGCCAACTATGTGGTAGATGTGGTCTTTCTTCATGAACCAATCAAATTCCCTGAATTACATATGGTTCCTCAAGGCTATTCATATCAGATGGTATGGGTTCCCTGAGCACATTTCAAAACCGGCATATTTAGAATGGTGTTGATGCAAAGAAGTGAGTAGTAAGCAGTTTCTTCATTAGGTAGATTGGCAACTTTCTGTAGGGCACAACCATTAACAGGACAAGGGGTAGTTTCTTCCCAAGATCTAAGAAAACCTGGAGTTTAGGTAGTTGGAGTAAAAATAACCTCCATTCCATTGCTTCTTCTCTATTATTCATTCAAACGTTTAAAAATTGTATTTGTTTTCCTTCCATACAAGTGGAAAATAGTCCTCCTTTTGGATAATATTGACTCCATAGGGAATTTATATTGGTTCCACAGAATGGTCAACTAGGCTTTGTACTATCCTTATCAACAAGCTTCAGTCCCAGTATATTCAAATACCAATCATATATCTTACTTATGCTTTAAGTAAGGCACTTTCTAAACTTAACTCACTTGTTTAGAAAACTCAAATAAACTCAATTTCACTGTCTGTTAGTGACATTATTTCTCTGATTAGTCTTAAAAACCTGAAGTTATCTTCAAACATCTCCTCCATTTCCCATATCCAGTGAGCGAGTCAATAAGTTTTGCTACTTATTTCAAAATGCCTCACATTCTTTCCTATCTCTTCCTATTGCTGTTATTTAAGGGGCCCCCTGCAATCTTCTTTACTTCATTCATGAAATACTTTAACAGCCTCCAAGTCAGTCTTTCCTATCTTCCTATGCCTGCCCTAATTAATGCCACTAAAACGTGTGAGATTACTGTCCTCTGACTCTCATATTATCAAGTTATACATATTACCACTTCTCCAGGCAAAATTTTATCTTCAGGGCTTGTCCAATTCCTCCTTCACCAAGAATAATCTTTGCTTCACTTTCAAGAGCCCACTGTACAATATTAGAGTTTTCCAGTGGGTGATCAATCATGCTGGGAAACTTCTCCATGGGATGTAAAAAGTCCCAGTCTTTGGCAATAGGTGACCAGGTTTGGGGGAAAATGTACAAATCCATATGGTGGTACAAAAAATAGAGCTAAAACCAATACTGGTGTTAGTGTCTAATGGACATGGCATAGATTATCTGCTTTCTGCAGTTGCTGTTTTTCCTGACCATTAATGTGAGCAAGCATAATTTATGGTTGACAATAATGGATCATCCATTGTTGCATCACTCCTAGTGATGTGACTTAAGTGTACAACTTAAGTGCATGGTAAATATGAAAGTTAACAACCCATCTTTGACTTTCTCTGTGGATTAACTATTGTGCTTTGTATCAAAAGAGTGCTAGTTTAATTTTTAACATTGTGAATATTATCACCATCCTTTCTAAGAGCTCAGATAATGAAAATGAGAATGATGATAACTCCAATGCCAGCATGACCCAGATATCATAAAAAATGAACACTAAATGGAAGAACGCATCACTGGCTTAGGGAGATAAACAACAAAAACAGAATATACTGTACACTGTACAGAAAAGAACCTGGGATTGGACATACTGGAGAAGGAGATGTGAAAGCATATACGAAGATGGAATCTCATAGGGCAAGTATTTTTAATCAGTCAGAGGATTGTTTTATTTTTCCTCCCAAAATGGCACCAATACTAGCAGCTGCTCTGTTACCTTGGGTCACATGAAACACACATTATTGTATGGTTTCCATGATTGGTCTATGAAACTGAGTGAAGTTATTAATACACATATTCATTCAGAGGTTGCAACTAAATTGTCTTATGGACAAACAAAAATGAAAATTTTGATAAGAGATGCGTTGGCCCCTTATAGTGTAGAGCTGATTCTGTCAGCACTTAATTGCAATCTTGCTTTCTATAGTATATCAAGTGATGTGTCAAAATATGGCAACAAATATTTCCCTACTTATTAGGTATTCTTATTTCAAAAATGAGGTTTCACATTATCATCTTGATTTCTATGGTTTAAATAAAACCCAAGAAATCATAAAAAAGACTATTGACATCTTGTCCAAATAAAGACTAGACTTTCCTCATTTATCTGCCTTTTCTGGGGTACATAACATGTAAGTAAATTTTGGGAGTTTCCATTTAGTCTATAAACTTCATATCAAAGAAAAACGAAAAGATCTTACTCGTTCAATGTCCTGCACACCTTGTACATAGCACTGCTAGAAGGGGTGTGATTTGCTTACCTGTGATATTGTGGTTTTCATATTATAAGTTTTTGGTCACTTTTCAGTTTCCCAAAATACGCAAAACTGTTTAATGTTTTTTCTTTATTCTATAGAAACTGAAGTAGTCTCCCTAGAAATGTGCCTAAAATGGCTATTATTGTTGATGGCCAGAGAAGATACGAAAAGGTTGGCCTGGGAAGAGAGATCATCATGGCAGATGGGAGGCAGGACTACATTGCAGCTCCTACTCGGATGGACACAGCAGCATGCAGAGGCTCACATTGCGAATTTTAGCTCCAGAATAACTGCAAGAACAAACCAGGAATCCTAAGAGGACCCACAGACCCTGTGAAGGAAGTAGAGTGCTCCTGCAGGACTCTGGAGACACCCCAAATACTGTGAGTGCCCCAACTGCGGAAGTGGGAAAAGGAGATAATCCGCTCGCAAATACCAACCACCACCGTGCCCCTAGTGAAGGTCTACTTTGTGGGAGAAGTTTCCGAAATTACCTGGAGCTGAGTCAATTTAGAGAGCTGAACAAAATACAGGGGTAGAGGAAGCAGCAGAAGGGCCCTGGGAGCCTGCTGGGTCCCCAAGCAGGCCATTCCTGCCTGGCACCACAGGGATCCAACGAGAGGGCGGCCAAAGGCACAGAAGAAAACACCACAGGGAGAAGGAAATCTCCAGCTGAACTTTGTATCAATTTAAATGGGGCAAGAAGCCTCCTGGCCAGAACTCACAGGAGGGCATGAATTCAATGTGCAGACTCCACAGGTTGGGGAAGAACCAAGCCCTTTTCTTTCGCAACTCAGAGGCAGGTAGCCTGGGGTAAGTTCTTAAGCCCGGCTTGCTCACTGCCTGGAAACAGACTTGGGGTTGTTAGAGGGGCCACAGCGGGAGTGAGACCGGCCCTTTAGATTGCATGGGAGCTGGGTGAGGCCTGTGACTGCCAGCTTTCCCCACTTTCCTGACAACGTGCATGACTCAGCAGAGGCAGCCATAATGCTCCTAGGTACACAACTCCATTGACCTGGGAACCTCGCCCTGATCCCCTACCCAAGGAGAGTCTGAGCTCAGACATACCTAGCCCTGCCCCCACCTGATGGGCCTTCCCTATCCACCCTGGTAGCTGAAGACAAAGGGCATACATGTACTCTTGGGAATTTTAGGGCTCTGACCACTGCTGGTTCCTCTACATATTACCACAGCTGATGCTCTCTGGAAAGTGCCACCTCCTGGCAGGAGGCCAACCAGCACAAAAATAGAACATTAAACCACCAAAGCTAAAAACCCTCACAGAGTCCATTTTACCCATTCCCCCCTCCCCACTCCCACCACCTCCACTGGAACAGGTGCTGGTATCCAGGACTGAGAGACCTATAGACAGTTCACATCACAGGACTCTGTGCAGATAACCCCAGTACCAGCCCAGAGCCGGGTAGGCTTGCTGGGTGGCAAGACCCAGTAAAAAGATAACAATCACTGCAGCTTGGCTCACAGGAAGCCACATCCATAGGAAAAGGGGAGAGTACTACATCAAGGGACACCCCGTGGGACAAAAGAATCTGAACAACAGTCTTCAGCCCTAGACTCTCCCTCTGACAGAGCTTACCCAAATGAGAAGGAACCAGAAAACCAACTCTGGTAATATGACAAAACAAACTCTTAAACAACTCCCAAAAATCATACTAACTCACCAGCAATGGATCCAAACCAAGAAGAAATCCCTCATTTACCTGAAAAAGAATTCAGGAGGTTAGTTATTAAGCTAATCAGGGAGGCACCAGAGAAAGGTGAAGCCCAATGAAAGGAAATCTAAAACATGATACAAGAAGTGAAGGGAGAAATATTCAAGGAAATAGATAGCATAAAGAAAAAACAATCAAAACTTCAGGAAATAATGGACACACTTACAGAAATGCAAAATGCTCTGGAAAGTCTCGGCAATAGAATAGAACAAGTAGAAGAAAGAAATTCAGAGCTTGAAGACAAGGTCTTTGAATTAACCCAATCCAACAAAGACTAAGAAAAAAGAATAAGAAAATATGAACAAAGCCTCCAGGAAGGCTGGGATTATGTTAAATGACCAAACCTAAGAATAACTGGTGTGCCTGAAAAAGAAGAGAAATCTAAAAGTTTGGAAAACATATTTGGGGGAATAATCGAGGAAAACTTCCTCAGCATTGCTAGAGACCTACACATCCAAATACAAGAAGCACAAGGAACATCTGGGAAATTCATCACAAAAAATCATCACCTAGGCGCATTGTCATCAGGTTATCTAAAGTTAACATGAAAGAAAGAACCTTAAGAGCTGTGAGACAAAAGGACCAGGTAACCTATTAAAAAAAGCCTATCAGATTAACAGCAGATTTCTCAGCTGAAACCCTACAAGCTAGAAGGGACTGGGACCCTATCTTAAGCCTCCTCAAACAAAACAATTATCAGCCAAGAATTTTGTATCCAGCAAAACTAAACATCATGTATGAAGGAAAGATACAGTCTTTTTCAGACAAACAAATGGTGAGAGAATTCACCACTACAAGAACTGCTAAAAGGAGCTCTAAATCTTGAAACAAATCCTGGAAACACATCAAAACAGAACCTCATTAGAAAGCAAAAACAAAAAACAAAAAAAAAACAAGGTACACAGGCAACAAATAGCATGATGAATGCAATGGTACCTCACATCTCAGTACTAACATTGAAAGTAAATGGCCTAAATGCTCCACTTAAAAGACACAGAACCACAGAATGAATAAGAATTCACCAACTATCTGCTGCCTTCAGGAGACTCATCTAACACATAAGGACTCACATAAAGGAAAGGGGTGGAAAAAGGCATTTCATGCTAATGAACACCAAAAGTGAGCAGGGGTAGCTATTCTTATAGCCCATTCTCACCACTCTTCTTCAGCATAGTACTGGAAGTCCTAGCCAGAGCAATCAGACAAGAGAAAGAAATCAAGGGCACACAAACCTGTAAAGAGGAAGTCAAACTGTCACTGTTTGCTGACGATATGATTGTTTACCTCAAAAACTCTAAAGGCTCCTCCAGAAAGCTCCTAGAACTGATAAAAGAATTCAGCAAAGTTTCTAGACACAAGATTAATGTACACAAATCAGTAGCTCTTCTATAAACCAACAGTGACCAAGCAGAGAATCAAATCAATGACTCAACCCCTTTTACAATAGCTGCAAAATAAATAAATAAATAAAATATTTAGGAATCTACCTAACCAAGGAGGTGAAAGACCTCTACAAGGAAAACTAGAAAACACTGCTGAAAGAAATCATAGATGACACAAACAAATGAAAACACATCCCACACTCATGGATGGGTAGAATCAATATTGTTGAAAATGACCGCACTGCCAAAAGCAATCTACAAATTCAATGCAATCCCTATCAAAATACCACCATCATTCTTCACAGAATTAGAAAAAGCAATTCTAAAATTCACATGGAACCAAAAAAGAGCACGCATAGCCAAGCAAAAAGAACAAATTTGGAAGTATTGCACTACCTGATTTCAAACTATACTATAAGGCTATCATCACCAAAACAGCATGGTACTGGTATAAAAACAGGCACTTAGACCAATGGAACAGAATAGAGAACCCATAAATAAACCCAAATATAGCCAACTGATCTTCAACAAAGCAAACAAAAACAAAGTGGGGAAAGGACACCCTTTTCAACAAATGATGCTGGGATAATTGGCTAGGCACATGTAGGAGAATGAAACTGGATTCTTATCTCTCACTTTATACAAAAATCAACTAAATATGGATTAAGGACTTAAATCCAAGACCTGCAACTATAAAAATTCTGGAAGATAACATCAGAAAAACCCTTATAGATACTGGCTTAGGCAAGGATTTCATGACCAAGAACCCAAAAGCAAATGCAATAAAAACAAAAATAAATAGTTGGGACTTAATTAAACTAAAGAGGTTTTGTATGGCAAAAGGAACGGTCAGCAGAGTAAACAGACAACACACCAAGTGGGAGAAAATCTTCACAATCTATACATCTTAGAAAGGACTAATATCCAGAATCTACAACGAGCTCAAACAAATCAGTAAGAAAAAAAACAAACAATCCCATCAAAAAGTGGGCTAAGGACATGAATAGACAATTCTCAAAAGAAGATATACAAATGGCCAACAAACATGAAAAAAATGCTCAGCATAACTAATGATCAAGGAAATGCAAATCAAAACCACAATGCAATACCACCTGACTCCTGCAAGAATAGCCATAATTCAAAAATCAAAAAAACAGTAGATGACGGTATGGATGCAGTGATCAGGGAACACTTCTACACTGCTGGTGGGAAGGTAAACTAGTACAGCCATTTTGGAAAACAGCGTGAAAATTCCTTAAAGAACTAAAAGTAGAGTTATCATTTAATCCAGCAATCCCACTACTGGGTATCTATGCAGAGAAAAAGAAGTTATATGAAAAATTTACTTGTATACGCATGTTCATAGCAGCAAAATTCACAAAATCTTGAATTTTGTGAATTCAATTTTTGCAAAAATTGTGGAACTAACCCAAATACCCATCAATCAATGAGCGGATAAACAAACTGTGGATATATATATATGATAGAACATGGAGATATATATATATATATATATATATATATGCCACTACTAAGCCATAAAAAGGAATGAATTAACGGCATTTGCAGCAACCTGGATGAGATTGGAGACTATTATTCTAAGTGAAGTAACTCAGGAATGGAAAGCCAAACATCATCATATGTTCTCACTGATAAGTGGAAGCTAAGCTATGAGAACACAAAGGCATAAGAATGATACAATGGACTTTGGGGACTTGGGAGGAGGGGTGGGAGGGGGCAAGGGATAAAAGACTACAAACAGGGTGCAGTGTATATTGCTCAGGTGATGGGTGCACCAAAATTTCACAAATCACCACTAAAGAACTTACTCATGTAACCAAATACCACCTGTACCCCAAAAACCTATGGAAAAATTAAAATAAATAAATAAGTAAATAAATAAATAAAAGGTTGGCCTGCCATAAAATTGTATTTTCAAAGGATAGGACAAAAAAAGTCCTCTTTAATTTAGAAACACAATAAAGGTAAGTAATTTATATGCTTTTCTTTAAACCTGCTTGATGATCACTAAAAAACACTACAAGGAGCCTAGAAAAAGAAGAATGAACCACCCAGGTTTGATGTTATATGTATGTTGCAACAAGTATTCATATAGTAAAAACAAAACAAAACAAACCCCCACCCCCACCCCCGCCACACACACACACACACACACAAAAACAAAACAAAACAAAACAAAACCTTAGTTTTTTGGAAAATAAGAATGTTTTAGAACTCAAAAAAATGTTACCAGAAAAGGCACTGTATTAGTTTCCTAGGGCTACTGAAACAAAGAACCACAAATTGGGTGGCTTAAAACCCACAGAAATGCTCTCACATTTCTGGAGGCCAGAAGTTCAAAATCAAGGTGTCAGCACAGTTGCCTTCTTATGGAAGGTCTGAGAGGGAATCTTCTGTGCCTCTCTCCCAGGTTCTGGTAGTTGCCATCAATCTTTCACATTCCTTGGCTTGTGGACACACTAATCTCTGCCTCATTACATGGCTTTTTTTCCTGTGTCTTTTGTATCTGTGTCCAAATTTTTCTCTTCTTATAAGAACACCAGTCATTGGATTAGGTGGTACCCTAATCCAGTATAATCTTATTTTAACTCAATTACATTTATGAAGATCCTATTTCCAAATAAAGTCACTTCAGAGATACTGGAATTAGGATTTGAACATATCTTTTGGGGGCACACAATTCTAACCACTACAGGCAGCCAGGTTGCACAAG
Organism: Homo sapiens; assembly: GCF_000001405.40. Classification (NCBI taxonomy): domain Eukaryota; kingdom Metazoa; phylum Chordata; class Mammalia; order Primates; family Hominidae; genus Homo; species Homo sapiens. The sequence continues at coordinate 37,392,847 of NC_000014.9, read as the reverse complement.
ACTTTAATTTCTTTAATAAACTATAACTTACTTGATATCTATTTTTGATTTCATAAGTTCAAATTACCTTTGTGCCCAACTGATGCTGAAAAAGCCTTCTACAGAGTTCAACATCCATTCACAATAAAAACTTTTAGCAAACTAGTCAGTGCCTAAAACTTTCTCACAGGGATAAAGGATATTTACAAAAAAACCACAGCTAACAATGTACTTAAGGTGAAATCCTGAATACTTTTCCTCAAGATAGAGAACAAGGCAATGATGTCTGTTCTCATCACTATTATTTAATATACCTAAATAACTTACAGCCCATGCAATAAGGAAGGAAAAGGAAATAAAAGGTATACATAATGGAAAGAAATACAAATGTCTGTATTTGTAGATGACATGATTACATTGAAAATCCCAAGGAATCTTTAAAAAACAACTGTAAAACTAGTAAGTCAGTCCATCAAAGCTGTAGGATACTATTAATGTAAAACTGGAAAGCAAAACGTTAAAATAATACTAATACCATTGTAATAGTGCTAAATATTAAATACTTAGGTGTAAATGCAACAAATGTGCAAAATCCATATGTTCAAAACTACAGAATGTTTATTAAATAAATCAAAGAAGACCTAAATAACTGGAGACACATACACTGTTCCTTGATCAGAAGTCTCAATGGTAAAGATGTCATTTCTCCTATCAAAAGCCCAACTGGATTTTTTTTGTAAATACAGACTGGTTGATTTTAAAACAAATAAAAGCAAGGAAAGTAGAATAGCTAAAACAATTCTGAAAAAAAACAAAATTGGAGTAATTGGAACATTTAGTCCACTTGGTTTAATAAATTATTCTTTTTTCAGGATTGTTTATTACTTTAATATTTAATTTAGACTATTTAAGTATATCCTATTATATCACTTTCCCCCTTCATTAGTTCCTAAATTCAAATTCTTGTCCTTTTCATGGTTATCTTAGAGATTCTAACTTGTTTTCCTGCCTTATAACAGTCTAATATAAATATATCACTTCTCCAGTAATGCTATACCTTAGAACATTTTGAGTCCATTACCCAGTTCTAGGCTTAAGGGTTATTTTTCTCATGGACTTTAATTTCTACATGGATTTGAAATGGCATAAGACATTATTATTAATTTTGAATAAGTGGCTGGGCACGGTGGCTCATGCCTGTAATCCCAGCACTTTGGGAGGCTGAGGCAGGTGGATCATGAGGTCAAGAGATACAGACCAGTCTGGCCAACATGCTGAAACCCCGTTTCTACTAAAAATAAAAAAATTAGCTGGACGTGGTGGCATGCACCTGTAGTCCCAGCTACTTGGGAGGCTGAGGCAGGAGAATGGCTTGAACTTGAAAGGTGGAGGTTGCAGGGAGCTGAGATCACGCCACGGCACTCCAGCATGGTGACAGAGTGAGACTCTATCTCAAAAAAAAAAAAAGATTAGGCTTCATTAGATCAATATTTTAATATTTCCAAACACATTTATCCTTCTGGCTGCTCTGAATTCCTTCTTACATTTCTGTGTTTGTGTTTGGTATCATTTTCCATTTGATTTAAGAAACCCCTTTACTATGTTTTTCAATTCACATCTGCATGTGACTAATTCTCTTGGAGTTTGTTTGTCTGAACTACGTTTATGTGCCACTATGTCACATTCCACTTTGAAAGATATTTAAACTAGGTATAGAATTTTACACTGGCTTTTTTTTTGGAGCTTTAACAATGTTATTCTAATCTCTTTTGACTTCTGTTATTTCTATTGAGAATTCAGCAGTCAGTAATGCTGTTCTTTGAACAACTTTTTTTCCTCAGTCTGCCTTTAAAATTTTTCTCCTTATCTCTGAGTTTATTACCTTAATTGTATTGTGTCCATGTGTCATTTTCTTTTATTTATCCTACTTGGTGTACTTAAGAGCTTCAAGAATTTGTGGTTTGAAATTTCCATCAGTTTTTGGAGAAATCTTGGCTACTATCTTGTCAACTTCTGCTTGTCACGTTGTCTTTCTCATCTCCTTCAGAGACTCTAATTATACCTATATTGTACTGTTTTGAGTTTCATTGTCTCTCAGCTACATCTCCTCTCCCCAAATTCCTTTTTATCTTTGCTATAATTTAAAAATGTACTGTTGATTTGTTATCTAGTTTACTAATCCTGTTTTCTGCTAAGCTCATCTAATTTCAGATATTGTGCTCATTACGATTAGAATTTCTATTTGATTTCCATTTGTTTTATAGAGATTACAATTTTATAATGAAATGCTTAATATTTTCATTTATTTTCTCTTATTTCTCCTACTTTTTTGAATATTTTCATTATAGCTATTGTAAAGTCCCTGTCATCTAATGCCAATATTGGATCAACTTTAAGTCAGTTTATACAACGTGTATTTCTCTTTGTTTTGAGCCTGTGGTCTTATCTTCTTGTGTATCTAGTAATTTTCAATGGAATGTCTTCAATTGTATATAATATATAAGTGACATTCCAGATATTATTTAGTCTTGAGGTTTAACCTTCATCTCTGCCAGGTAGATAAAGTGGGGCTGATCATTTTAATTAAGAACTGCAGAATATGGGGGTCAGTTAGCCTCTAGTTGTTTTTTGTTTTTTGTTTTTTTTCTTGAGAAGGAGTTTTGCTCTTGTTGCCCAGGCTGGAGTGCAATGGTGCAAACTTGGCTCACTGCAACCTCCACCTCCTAGGTTCAAGTGATTCTCCTGCTTCAGCCTCCGGAGTAGCTGGGATTACAGGTGCCCACCACCATGCCTGGCTAATTTTTTGTATATATACATATATATATTTTTGTAGTAGAGACAGGGTTTCACCCTGTTGAGCAGCTGGTCTCGAACTCCTGACCTCAAGTGATCCACCCATCTTGGCCTCCCAAAGTATTGGGATTACAGGTGTGAGCCACCGTGCCCAGCCTCTAGTTCTTATAAAACAGCTGCAAAATCCATCCTGCTTTTCAGACTTTTTGTTTGTTTTTAATCTCCAAACCTGTGCAGTCACAGATATCCATAAGGCACTACTGGATGTGTACTTAATGCTCCCTCCCCTCAGTATCAACCAAAAATCTGTTGTTTTTCTTTAAATACCAGACAATGGCTCTCCATGAGTAAAAAGCTAGAATTTTCAGATTTCTGCCTGCAGATAATCAACACATGCCTACGAGATAAAAGTGGCTGCAAAAATAAGCTCTCCTTTCAGGTTCTTCACTTCAACTGTTTTAGTCTCTCTAGTCTTCTTACTCCAATGAATAAAAGATTCTCGAGAATCCAAAATCAAGCCTCAGAAGATAGAACAATAAATATATAATATAAAAATTGACAGGAAAAAGAGTAAAGAAAGTCTCAGATTACCAGAATGTCAGGAAATCCAGCTGGAAAACAAGAGATCTAATCTATATCAATCATGTGATTAGGTGCAATATTCATTTACGTATATAAATATTATCTACACATACATGTTAACTCTGGGATTATCTTTCTTCCTTCAAGAGTTGAAAATATAAGAAATAGAAATGAAGTGTGTTTTACTACATGCCAGCATACATTTTTTAGTCTTATGAAGAAGACATATTATTACAGTAAAAATCTGTTTTTTGTTTTTTTTTACCACCCTTCATTCTTTTTTAGTGTTTCTGGTAGGAAAATATTTCCAATTTCTTTTAGAAAATCATTCTTCCCCTATTCATGACATATCCTTAGAAGCAGACCTAGATTGTCCTAAGGCGGTCAGTATATTTCACTCCATTGGTCACAGTAATCATTTTAGAGATAAATGAATAAGCACATGACCTCCAGTAGTCCAATTCAAGTTTAAAAGACCCAATTCTAGAATTTCTGTTTTTATTTTTGATAAAAAACTTTTTTTTCCTTCTAGCCTTCAACTGGTAAGTTGAGAAGGCAGAAGCTTCTACCTCATGAATGTTAAGCCAATACATAGAGGAGAGCAAACAAAACCTAGATACAGAACAAAAGTTTTGGGGTCCTACGCAAGAATTTGCTGAAGTTAAAAGAGAAATGAGCTACTATTACACACGACATGGATGAATCTCAAAATCATCATGTTGAAAGAAGCCAGACACAAAAGAGTAGGTATTATATGACTCTACTTGCATAGCATTCCAGAAAATGCAAGTGAATTTATAGTGACAAAAAAGCAGATGAGTGGTTGTTTGGGCTGGGGATAGAGGTTGGGAGGCAGCACAAAAAAAATATTTTGGTGGGATGATAGAAATGCTCTGTATCTTCATTACGGTGGACATATATGTCAAAATGCATTGAACTGTATACCTTAAATGGATGAAATTTACTGTCAACAAAATTGATTGAAAAAAGTAAAAAAAAAAAAAAAACACAAAAAAAACCCAAAAATAATCTCTGGAAGTTAGCCCTGTCCTTGGTCTTTTCAACTATGTGAACGATAAGTTTCATTTATGCTTGAGCAATTTGGGGTGTGGTTTTCTAACCCTTGAAACAAGCAAATACTATCCAATACAAATACATTCATTTTACAAAATTTACCATGGCAAGCAAATGTATTAATGCATTTTTGAAAGACAGTCAATAACAGTTGAAACAAAAAGGCTTACAGGTGCTTAAAGTCTCAGTTTTCTTTTAAACAAATAATTGTTAAAACCCCACAATTCTTCAACAACGCTGATTACCTCAAGTTTTTTTTTTTATCCTTTCTAAGATGAGAGTCTGACGATGTTTCTTAAGCTCTTATATTGTTTAGGAATTGTTACATAATGTTTTTCCTAATCACTGATAACATTTTTTTCTGGTTCGCACTTATAGTTGGACAAGAAATAATATATAATTTTCCAAGTAGCATCATCAAACATTTGCATCGTTTTAAGTCACATCTTTGCTTTTCCCTTCTCTTGGTTCAATTATCTTAATTTCTACCTCAAGTTTCCTTTATTTATTTATTTTAATACATCTTTTGGATCTTAGAAGTTTTCTCATTTTCTCTTTAGAATTACATAGGAAAATATTAGTTTTAGAGAAGCATGATTGTAAAACACCCAATATTTTATAATAAATACATTCTAAAAACAAGACTGATAGCTTCCAGATTTAAAAAACCTGCCATAGAGAAAACTATGGTCTTATAAATAGGGAAGTTAAAAATGTCCTTGAGACAGATACGTGTATCACATTTTTGTTAGAGAATCTTAAATTTCATATTATACAATAAAGTGAATATATGTAAATTAGGCTGAAAGTTAGGTCACAGGTATATAGCACTACCAAATGGGAATTGTTACCAGGACAAAACTGATACACTCAATGGAAATACTGTATCAGGTTTCATGATTTAAGTTCAACAATCTGAGGTTCTGGAAACAAAGTCTTAATAGCCCTACGAGAATCCTTCCTCCCCTTTACTTCCTTCCTAGTCACAGAAAATAATGAAAATGGAACACTTGAAATAAAATTATTGTTTCCTTAGTAGTTGTTTCATCTGATCAAAATATTTCTTCTGATCCATGTTAAACTACATACAATACAGAACTATTATAAATCCTTATTAATATATTATAGTTATTTTTATGTAATTTATGCCATTTAAAATAAATTTACCACTTTCCTTATATTCAAAAAATGTTTCCTAAATACTTTCATAGTTTAAAAATTCAGTTTTTAGTAATTTTCCTCACAGTTTCATTATCTTCTAGGTAATACACATTGTCATATATAATTCCTTTAAGGTACTGTCTGCAGCTGAGCATTCTTCACCTAGATGGATATCAACACCAAACTTACGGTTTTTGAATGGAATATTATTGAATATTATTTTTATAGCTTTTATGCAATGACACTTGTTGAATTTATTTTGAGATAATAGGTATAATAGATAATAGCCATATTATCAATTGGCTCTGTTGGGAAAAATGAGATAACTATAATTTGTATTTCAAATCCATTGAAAAGCTGGGATTAGAACACAGATATATGTGTAGCCATTATGGAGTATGAACGATATTGTTAAAATACTATTTATATTTAAAGCTAGTAAGATCAATTATTGCTTTATGCCTTTTAACACCTAACATGGTGACATATTAATTAACTAAGCACTTAATTCTGTATTTGACTCAGTGATTTATCTGTTCTCTACTACATTAACAACTGTCTAAGCAACTATCTAAACAATTAACAATTATCCAAATAAAATAAGACCTAGAATACAGGTTCTTAACCTAGAGCTCATCAGTGAGCTTGGGAAGGACATAAACTCCTTGAATTCTATGCAAATTTCTGTAAACTTGTATTTTTTTTTTAGGGAGAAGACTCGACATTTGCATTGGCTTCTCAAAAGGGTTTCAACTACACAAAAAGTGTTTAAAAATCCAGTTATATGGAGAAACAAGATCAATTTATTGTCAAAAGACAGAATTATTCCTCTTTTGCATCAACCAGGCTTGACATAACTGTAATCTCATGGAAATGTCTGCTACTGTAATCAAGAATTTGCATGTAGAAGGAATGCATCACAGAATATATGACATCTTGCTATGTCTACTGTACTAAAGAATTAAAGAGGTTTGAAAATAAATACTGAAACAAATCAGAAAGGAACCTCAATTTTATTAAACTAAAATATCATAGCTAGGAACATCTCAAATTGAGAATAAAGTTTATATAATATTTCAGAGTCATATGAATGTCATAAAATAATAAAAATGTACCATATAATTATTTAAAAAGCACAAGTCTATAAATTGGAAACAATGACCAGCTAAGAGATGACAGGTAGGCTGAAACTCAACCTATTTCCAAACCACTAAAGAAGACATAAATCAACTTAAAGGGAAAATTACATTTGTAGGTTTATAAACATATTTTTAAAAACCACTCCTATAAAGCAAAAGATATAAAAAGAAAACTTGAGAAATGATAAAAGGATAAAGGATAAAAAATTAACAAAGCTATATGTTAGGCCACTTTGGTTCATGCAATTTTCTTTTGTTTCTCTCTAAAATGGTATATCAATTTTTATTTTTCACAAACTTCTTTCAATTAAGAAAGAAAATACATTTGCACAGGAAAAAGCAGTTTTTCATCAACTTTTTCTAGTCAGTGAACAAAAGGCTGAGAAGAAATCTTTTTTTTAAAAAATGGTTACATTATAGTATAATGTATAGATTATATAAATCATGCATTATCTTACAGACATATATAAGAATGTATAGGGATAAAATGTATAAAATAGAAGAACCAAATGCTTGCAACAGAAAATAAAAGTGTAAAGTTTAGTTCTTTTTCTGTACTATAAAAAAACCAGCCATCCTGAAGGCCTGTGCCATTCTTAGGCCACTTTCAGGCAGATTCTGAAAAGCTGGAAAGTAAACACAGGTGTTTTAAAACTAGAGCTGCTGTCACGGACAACCACAAACACCCTTAACTCTGATGTGGCAACGCCTCTTTCCCGCCCTCTGTTTTTTAAAGCAATACCCGAAAAGAAAATGTCAAATGTTTCACCTTTCAACACCTCAGAATAAGTAAGAGCTTAAAGTGTTGTTCTGTAATCTCTAGCAAATAGATCACTTTTTCACTACTTTTAAATGTAGCCAATTAAATATTAATTACATAAGATAAAAAGTGGAATTTCTTTAAAAATTTCCACCACCCCAACCTTACACACCCTCCCTCTTCCACCATATTTTACAGCAGTTTCTTTAGTTCTTAAAGCAAAATCTTTTGTTTGACCACATTTAGATTATTTCTTCTATCGTATAGTTTTTACAGAAAATATCTGATTTTTTCTTGGAAAGTTTAACGTACAACTCAGAAAAATGCAGAGCTTTAACTGAAATATGTAATTCTCTTTTAGAAAACTGTATCCTAATAGGTACCTAAGTAGGAGTAGAAATCATTTACAGAGAAAAATAGAAGACAGAAAGTAAAATAATTCCCAAACTGCTACAAAACATGGAACTCAGGTTTTGGAATCAATTCATATATGGAATCAATTTTCAAACACTGAAATATCAATCTATTACTTATAATTGTATAAAATTGCCCTTAAAAAACAGGGATAAAATTCATTAGGAATTGATAAGTTACAACCTAACTAGTAAATATAAGAACTAAAGAAAAATTAATTCTTTATATTTCACCATATACATCAAGAAACAGGTACTGTTAAGGGAATGGCCAAGTAAGTATCAATCAGTTCCCAAATTAATCTTGGAGGTTATTTTGAGAGGTTTAGTCCTACCCTCAGAATTTCACAAATAATTCCTTTGTGCAATCCATGTAAGAAATGTTCTCTGAAATCACACTTGTTTGTATATTTGATAATTTTTTTTAAAAAACTGGTAGTTTCTTTGTGCTGTAAGCTTTAAATAAAGAGATGTCTGCCTTTTTAAATAATAAAATAAAAATTAATGAATAGGAATAAAAATAAAACTGAATGACAATTTTATATCAGTAGCTATATTTTTCCCAAAATTTCCTCAGATATTTTATCATTTTCTATTACCTTTTTAAAAATTGTGAAGAACTAATATCAGAGCTATATAATATTTGGCTAAGCAGAAGCAATCAATAATAAATAAGAGAAAAGTAAAGTTTTGCCATCTTTTTCAGATCCATCCATGCATTGCTTCATCTCAAATGTGAACGACATTATATAGTATTGAGACAAAATAATAATGTTGTGACAAACCAACGAAGTAAAGACATTTAGAATTAAGTTTGACAATTCTTAACTGAGTCCACTATACTCTGGTATTATAAAATATGCATGTTATCTATGGGCACAAAAGAGCAAGGAAAGGGCAGTGTGTCAGTATTGAAGTTAATTTCCTTGCTTTTGTTGGTTTATATTACCATCTAATAGTACACAAACAATCTGTTTCTAGGCAATGAATTTCTTCCTCTGCCATGATGAGCTGAGTTCATTTGTATGTTAAATATCTTTCAGCATATAAAAATCCAGTTTAACAGCAACAGCAACAAAAGCCAGTAAAGGAATGTCATTTAAAAATCAAATTTACAAAAATATAAGATATAAAACATTTGCTTAATTAGAAAGAAGATTACTACTTACATTTTACAACCTCTCAAAAGGTGAAGGTAATTAACACAGCAGAATTTATTAAAACAAATGATATTAATATATCTTAGAATACTCAAGTTTTCTTGGTAATTCTTTCTTGGTCTTTCTAAAAGTAAAGTACTTATCTGAAAACTTGTAGATCTAGATAAAAACCAGTAAATGACTAACACAAGTAAGATTCCAGCAACTATTACAGTATGAAAATTTTTAAAAGAGGCACCTCAGACTTAAAACCTGACCATCATATAACGGAGCAAAAACACAATGGACAAATGTACTTTTTTGATGGCTGTGATCATGACTTAATTTCACTATCCTCCTTTTCTAGTAAAAATAATAGTCTTTCTAGTATTTAAAATGAGTAATTTATGTACTAAAATTCAATGTAAAAAATTGTCACTTTTAAGAAAGAAGGACAAAAATGCTGATACAAGTTGAGAATAAAATACACAAAAATGACTCTGGACTTAAACCTAAAATAGCAAGTATCAAAAGAAAGTGAAGATTAAATAGTCATAAATCACAAACAATACCTGAAACAAGATACTGGATTACACTGAAAACACTTGCATGGAATATGTAAAACTATGTTGCATGATTTTGTGAAATTATTAAGAACGTACAAATAAAAGATAATATAAATGCCATTTAGATACGATTATGGTTGTACACGATTCAAAGTTAACATTTTCTAAAGAAAAGGCTGTAAGTTATCAAAACTCCAAGAGGGTGACATTCATCTGAAGATACATGAAATTTTTTTCAAGACTGTGAAATATATTCTTAAAAAAAAATTTAATATAAATACAAAAGAATAAAAATCTTGGAAATATGCTTTTTGTATCGAATTTTAAATACTAAGTAATAAATTATAGGATCTATAAAATGTGTCTATGAGTCAGTAGGCAAGAGTGATTTTCCAAGATGCCTTTTTTTGTTTCAGTTAAAATTAAAATCCATGCTATCTAATCCTTGGAGTCAATTTGTAATTAAGGGGATTTGATGAGAGACCAGGCACTGAATTAATGATAAAATTTAATATCTGTTTTAATGCATCAACATAACAGAAAAACTAACCAACACTGAACAACACAATAAAGTCATTTTGTTATAGAGGACATATCTATGTCAGTCTGTGAATGTTATTTTTTTGAAAAGAAATATATATGCTAAAGTTCTTTAGATGAACTGGTAAAAACCGTATGTCTAAACGTCAATACTCATGTCAAAAATATTAAAATAAAGATTAGTTTGGTATGAAAACTACATTGGTAAATGCAATTACTTTTACTGAGAATTTTATGTAATCTCTAATGAAAGTCTCAACTACTTTCCATATCATGTTTCAAAGCAGAAATACTTAGTAAAGTAAGTTAATTGCATTTGACAATAGTAAGTTTATTTATTAAAAATATATTTTTAGTTAAGAAAGAACGCTTAAGTTTTAAGATCTAACAAATTAAATTTCATAGTATTTCAAACAACCAATCTGGACTTTATGCTATGCTTTTCACAGCATTACTACACTGCAATTCATCAAAGAATTTAATATATCACTTATTCCAAATCACTTTAGGGCACAACTTTACATAGAATTCAGTTACTGGAAATAGTTAAAACTCAAAGAATGAAAAAATTTCATTTGACCAGCATTCACCATGTAGCCTCAACCAATTCTTCCCCCTAAAATACCAAGAAAGCACTAAAAAGACATAAAACTGATAATGCTTCCAAAATACTGACATCATCCTAATATAAAAATCAACTTGAAAATCAAACAAAACTAAGGTTGAGGAACTATTTTGTCCTTACTTTACCTTCCAAACACAAAGTCTACACTAGGCAAGTTTTCAAATTCAGAGTAAGATATTCTAATTCAGGTCAAGCACAGTGGCTCATATCTATAATCCCAGTACCTTGGGAGGCTGAGCTGAGAAGATAGCTTAAGCTCAGGAGTTCCAGACCAGCCTGGGCAAAATAGTGAGATCTCATCTCTACTAAAAATAAAAAAAAAAAAAATTAGCAGGGCACAGAAGTGTGTGCCTATAGTGTCAACTGCTTAGGAGGCTGAGGTGGGAGGATCACTTGAGCCTGGAAGATTGGGGCTGCAGTGAGCTACAACTGTACCACTGCACTCCAGCCTGGGTGACAGAAGGAGACCCTGTCTTGAAAAAAAAAAAATTCCAATTCAGTAGACTTTGGGTTGGGCCAGATTTTACTATTTTGGAAACATTTTTTTGATTATTCAAATACATGCCTTTGTAAAGAACCTTTAACCTATATTTATTACCTAACCTGACCTCTGCTAGGTATTGTCTTTAAAGCTATCCAGGACATTGTTTCCAAAAATATATCAGAGACACCTGCTCTTCTACACCCTTTTGGCCATTGTAATACGAAAAGTCAATAGGGTCAGAAAAAGAAGGGAGAAGATAATGAGCTCCTTAGAAAATAATTTACATTTTTCTACTTTTAAACTTTACATTTACAAGAGTCAAGGCTTCCACTATCACCAATGAGAGTAGAAGGTAAGGAGGAAGATAGTAATGAAGGTACCTACTATTGATGTGGGCAGAGATAGGAAAGGCCTAGGAGGAAGACCTGGGAACACTGAGAGTCTTACATATTCAATTTTTTTCCAGGTCAGTGAACATTTTCTTATGAAAACAATTTCATTCTACCACCCAAATTCCTCTCCCTGAAGTACTGTGGCCAAACTGAAAAAAGGATAAGTAGGTATTAGCTGAACAAAGTAAGGGAATAGACGATATAGAGCGTTTCCATCAGAGAAAATGCTGGATACAAAGACCAGGTGACACAAAGGTTGGAAAAGCATTCCAGGATCTATCCAAAGTCAGTTAACATACTGATACATCTGCCTGTTGGGCCTAAAATTCAGCCTCCTACTAAAAATTTGTGCCGTCATTCAAGTATTCATTTTTTAAAATTTGTGGCATATTACAAAATGTATAAAACAGTTCCTGTAAGGAAGCTTGCAATGTAATTTTATATTTCTATCATTACTTATCAAAATAAAGTATCAAATTCCTAAAACAACACTGACTATGAAACTCCCAATTAGAAAAACATCATTAGTAACCAATGTTAAAAGCAATTATATGCAAGTATCATAAGTATTACATTTACATTTGTCATAAATAATCTCCACAGAAATTTCTCACAGTAATTCAGTATTCCTTTCATGGCAGAGGTTATAGTTCACAGTTGTTTCATCTGCATCTCATCAGTCTTTATTGTGTCTTGATGGACTTGATGAACCTGCATAGGCTATAATGATTTGACTATACCTGGTGTTATAATCCATGGAATCACCTTTCACTGTAGTTGTTCATTTTAGACAGCACACAATGAATGCTGTTAGAGCAATTCCACATTTGGTATGCAAAGACTGTAAACCTGGTCTAGCTGAGAGTCTTGCTTGTAAAGAAAGACATTCTCTTGAGAAAAAAATTATTCTGTGGAAAACAAAGGCTGGCAAGGGAACAGAACGCTGTTAGAAACCAAGGCAGAATTTCTCCCCATCTCCCTTGTTCAAAAATTGGTGTTTTCTTTATATACTGACTTCTTTCTCTCCGCTTTTCCAACTGACTGCTTCATAACTTCAGATTGCCCATAGTCTACAGCTGTCTACATGGACCCAGGCCTACTTCATGATCATTTGGTTTAGCATTCAAAACTGACTTAGCTCCCTTCCCTTTCAGTATCCCAATTCCAAATTATTGAAGGAGTAATCTGACTTACTACCTTTTCAAACCAGGCCATATAGCTCAAGGTCATTAGGTGGCTTTGGGTTACACGGCCATGCATCAGATTTCTTATAGAAAGAGAATGGTTGAAGGATGGGTAAATGAATTTGAGTAGACAACAAAAAAGATTTGTTACACTCTTCATTCTTTAAAACAAATCTTCCTCAGTATTACATACACATTATACACTAACCTTCCCACTTTTACTTAATAACTGAGCTCCTCAAAAAAAATTTACATTTTTCTACTTTTAAACTTTCCATTTACAAGAGTCAAGGCTTCCACTACCACCAATGAACTGAAATTGCAATGACAAAGCTACCACTGCCTTAGAAATATGCCTGTTCTGATACTTTGCCCATTTTTGAATTGGGTTACTTGCCTTTTCTTTGCTGAGTTATAAGATTTATATACTCTAGATATAAGTTCCTTGCCAGATATATGATTTGTAAATAATTTTCCCATTATGTGGGTTGTTTTCTCACATTTTTGATGGTATACTTTAAAACACAGAAGTTTTATATTTTTATTAGGCCCAGCTTAACTGTTTTTTAGTTGTTGCTTGGGATTTTGGTTTCGATCTAAGAAAGCTTTGCCTAACTGAAGGACGCAAAAATTTGCAGTTATGTTTTTTCTTCTAGGAGTTTTATAGTTTTAGCTTTAACATTTAGATTTGTGAAAAATTTTGAATTACTTTTGTATGTTGTATGATGAGGTATGGATCCAAATGCATTCTTTTGCATATGAATAGCCAGTTGTCTTGAGACCATTTGTTGAAAATGCTATTTTTATCCCCATTGAATTGTTTTGTCACCCCTCTCAAAAGTCAATTGACCATAAGTATGAGGTTGAGTTCTGGACTCTCAATTCTGTTCCACTTATCTGTATGTCTGTCCTTATGCTATTACCATACTATCTTGATTACTGTAGCTTTGTAGTAGGCATTACATCAAGACCCGTGAGTCATCCAAGTTTGTTCTTTTTCAAGATTGTTTCGGCTGTATCAGTTTTTATATTAGGATTACTAGCTTAATGAATGATATAAATTTCTACCTTTCACTGTGGTCTTGTTTAGATTGCATTAGAATGATCTTGGCTTAAGTAGTAAATAGGATCCGTTTTTTAAATCATATAGTCTTAGTGCCTTTTTATACAGTGAATTTTAAATTACTTTTTCAGTTGTTTCAATACATCCGTCTACTTTTCTGCTTCTTAAGTCAATTTTAGTGGCCTGTATATTTTGCTAGGAAAGTACCTTCTTTCCTTTGACTCCCTCTCCCTTCTTCCTTTCCTTCCGTCCCTCCCTCTCTTTTCTTTCATCCCTTCCTTCTTACATTCTTTCCTTCCCTCCCTCCCTCCCTTTCCTCCTTCCCTCCTCCCCGGCATATAAGTCTGTGACATTTTAATATCACCACAATGGGAATACAGAATGGTTACATCACTATAAAGAAATACCCCCTTGTTACCTTTCCATAGTCATAGCCTGTTCCCAAACCTAACTCCTAGCAACCACTGATTTTTTTCTCTATCACTATAATTTTGTCACTTTGGGACTTATATAAAAATGGAATCATATAAATTTAACCCTTTGAGAATGGCTTTTGCATCATGCCCTTGAGACCCATCTGAGTCATGGGTGTATCAATAGGTTGTTTCCTTTTATTGTTGAGTAATATTCTATTGTGTGGACATTCATCTGTTGACCTACTAAATTTGGCTTCTTTCTAGTTTTGGGCAATTATGAATTAAGCTGCTATGATCATTTATGTACATGATTTGTGTTAAAATACATTTGCATTTTTCTGAGATAAAGATCCAGGAGTGCAATAGCTGGGTTATATGGTAAGTATAAATTTAACTTTATAATAAACTGCCAATGTTCCAAAGTAGCTGTACCATTTTACACTCCTAACAGCAATGTATGAAAGATTCAATTTCTCCACATCCTGTCAACATTTAGTATATCAGTATTTTTTCATTTTAGCCATTCAATTGGTGTGACATGATATCTCATTATGATTTTAATAAACTTGTAAATTTTTAAAGATAATTTTAATTTTAAAAAGTTTTAAAAATAGTAAAGTCAGAGTTTAAGATTTCAGCTACTTTTGTCAAACATTCTGCTTCAGTAATACTGGACTCAGAAGGATCACTGGTGCCCAGGAATTGGAGGTTATAGTGAGCTATGATCATACCACTGCACTCCAGCCTGGGCAAAAAGAAAGAGCCTGTCTCTTAAAAAAAAAAAAAAAAAAGGCATAAAAATAGGAAAGAAATAACCACCGCACTCCTGTCAAGACTGAATGCTGAATTGTTTTTTGGCAGGGGAAAGCTTGAGAGGATATGAAGATTATATCAACTGTCTTAGCCTACATGCCTAGAAGGATGGTAGTACCATTAATTGATAGATGTTAATAGACCAATTTGGCAGTAAATAATAGAAAACCATAAAGAATGATTTAAAATATAGGGCTATTTTATCTTGCCCCCCAAAAAGTTGCTGATGATATAGTTGCTTAACGTTCTGTCAGTGGCTCATTGGCTAAGAGGTTCAATGGTGTTACAGCCAGCTACCCTTGG
The DNA here is from genome assembly GCF_000001405.40 of Homo sapiens. Lineage (NCBI taxonomy): Eukaryota > Metazoa > Chordata > Mammalia > Primates > Hominidae > Homo > Homo sapiens. Next base: position 37,377,421 of record NC_000014.9, on the reverse strand, counting down.
CCTTTGTCTCATGACTATAAAATGACTACTGCAGTTTCAGACAGCATGTAATAAGAAGGGAGGAAGGAGTGATGTTTACTTCATCTGCCCTTATCTAAGGAAAACAAAAACTTTTACAAAGATGCCCCTCTTTCCTCCTCCCCTACTGCTGCAGATTCGCTTTTATGACTCACTGGTAAAAAGAAAAGCTGAGAAAGTATTTAACTTTTCCAGTGTCTATAGCAGAGTCATGCAAAGGAGAGTATGACTGGAAATAAATGTTGAGTTATAAAGTCAATAGTGTTTGACTCAGGTCCTGACTCCTTCCCGGGTAGAAGGCTTACAGAGTCAAATTAGGCATTTGGTTTCAAATTTGCTGTGGTTAAGCAGACATTAAGATATTCAAGTGGAAGAGCAGACATAGAGTCATTAGGACAAAAATGATAGGTGATGCCATAGGAAAAGATTAAATTGAGAAGACTACAAAAAAGAAACATCAACTGCTGGTGAGAATATGGAGCAACAGAAGCTCTCATTCATTACTGGTGGGAAAGCAAAATGGTACAACTATCTTGGAAGACAATTGGCAGTTTCCTATAAAACTAAACATATTTTTACGTATGATCCAGAAATTGCACTCCTTAGTACATACTCAAATGAGCTGAAAACACCTGGGTCCATACAAACAAAATGCACATGGGTGTTTATAGAAACTTTATTCATAACTGCCAAAACTTGGAAGCAACAAAGATGATTTTCAGTAGATGACTGAATAAATAAACTGTGGTATATCCACACAATTAAATGTGATTTAGCTGGTGCTAAGAGTTTAGCACCAGCAAACCTCTTAGCCCATAAGTCACTGACAGAACATTAAGCAACTATATCCTGATTTTTTTTTGAGCAAGAGAGAAAAAAGCCCTATATTTTAAGCACTTTAAAAAAAGGAGCTATAAAGCCATCAAAAGATATATGGGAATTTTAAATGCATATTACTAAGTTATAGAAGCCAATATGAAAAGGCCACATATTCTATAATTCCAACTATATGACATTCTGGAAAAAGCGAAACTATGGAAACAGCAAAAAGCTGGTCAGGAGGGATGAACAGGCAGACCACAGAGGATATTTTGGGCGGTGAAACTGTCCTGCATGATACTATAATGACTACATAACATTAAACATTTATCAAAAGCCACTCAATGTTCTACACCAAGTGAATTCTAATGTAAACTATGAACTTTTGGTTACAATGATGTGTCAATGTAGGTTCACTAACTATAACAAATGTACCACTCTGGTGCAGGATGTTGATAGTGGGAGAGGTTGTATGTCTGTGGGACCAGTGAATATATGGAAACTCTGTGTTTTACAATTTTGATGTGAACCTAAAACTACTCTAAAAAGCAAAGTTTATTTTAAAAAATAAGAATAAGGAAATAACTAACCCAGAGAACATTTATTCTTTAGAAATAGATGGAAAAATAAGCACCACCAATTAAGACTAAGTAAGGAAGAGCAAACAAAGAGGAAAAAAAATGGAGATATGGTGACAGAAAACTACAGAAAGCCAGTCACAGGAGTAACTGCCTACTTGGCAAGCTGAGGCAGGAGAACTGCTTGAGCCCAAGAGTTTGAGATCAGCCTGGGTAACATGGTAAGAATGAAAGAAAGAAAGAAAAGAAAGAGAAGAGTAGAGAAGAGAAAAGAGAGAACAGGAAGAAAGGAAAGAAAACTAGTGTGTCAAGAGGGTGGGACCCAACAAGACTGAAATGAGCTATTCTTCTTAGGTTGATTGGGATGTAAAGATAATACATAATAAATATCAAAGTTTTATTAACAATCAGAGCTCTTTTATAATCTAAGGAAGATTCACTTTCAATGGAATTACATTGGACAGTTCCAACTGTAGGAAGGAAATGTGTGAGTAGGAAGGTAAATTAATAAATTAAAAAGGAGGCTGGGCATGGCAGCTCATGTCTGTAATCCCCGCACTGTGGGAGGTCGAAGCGGAATGATCACTTGAGCCCAGGAGTTTGAGACCTCGTCTCTACAAATAATAAAAAAATCAGCAGGGCATGGTGGCACATGCCGTGCTTCCAGTTATGTGGGAGGCTGAGGTGGGGGAACCACTTAAGCCAAGGTGGTTGAGGCTATAGTGAGCTGTGATTGTGACACTGGACTCCAGCCTAGGTGACACAGTGAGACACTCATCTAAAAAAAATTATAATAATAATGAAAATAATTATTAAAAAGGGTAGACAGACAGCCAAATCATGAATGAACTCCCATTCACAACTGCTACAAAAAGAATAAAATACCTAGGAATACAACTTACAAGGGATGTGAAGGACCTCTTCAAGGAGAACTACAAACCACTGCTCAACAAAATAAAAGAGGACACAAATAAATGGAAAAACATTCCATGCTCATGGATAGAAGAATCAATATCGTGAAAATAGCCATATTGCCCAAGGTAATTTATAGATTCAATGCTATCGCCATCAAGCTAACATGAACTTTCTTCACAAAATTAGAAAAAGCTACTTTAAATTTCATATGGAACCAAAAAGGAGCCCACATAGCCAAGACAATCCTAAGCAAAAAGAACAAAGCTGGATGCATCACGATAACTGACTTCAAACTATACGAGGCTACAGTAACCAAAACAGCATGGTACTTGTAGGAAAACAGATATATAGACCAATGAAACAGAACAGAGGCCTCAGAAATAACACTACACATCTACAACCATTTGGTCTTTGAGAAAACTGGAAAAAAACAAGCAATCGGGAAAGGATTCCCTATTTAATAAATGGTGTTGGGAAAACTGGCTAGCCATATGCAGAAAACTGAAACTGGACCCCTTCCTTACATCTTATACAAAAATTAACTCAAGATGGATTAAAGACTTAAACATAAGACCTAACACCATAAAAATCCTAGAAGAAAACCTAGGCAATACCATTCAGGACACAGGCATGGGCAAAGACTTCATGACTAAAACACCAAAAGCAATGGCAACAAAAGTCAAAATAGACAAATGGGATCTAATTAAACTAAGGAGCTTCTGCACGGCAAAAGAAACTACCATCAGAGTGAACAGGCAACCTACAGAATGGGAGAAAATTTTTGCAATCTACCCATCTGACAAAGGGCTAATATCCAGAATCTACAAATAACTTAAACAAATTTACCCCCCGAAAAACAAACAACCCCATCAAAAAGTGGGCAAGGGATATGAACAGACACTTCTCAAAAGAAGACATTTATGCAGCCAACAAACATATGAAGAAAAGCTCATCATCACTGTCATTAGAGAGATGCAAATCAAAACCACAATGAGATACCATCTCATGCCAGTTAGAATGGTGATCATTAAAAAATCAAGAAACAACAGATGGTGGAGAGGATGTGGAGAAATAGGAACGTTTTTACACTGTTGGTGGGAGTGTAAATTAGTTCAACTATTGTGGAAGACAGTGTGGTAATTCCTCAAGGATCTAGAACTAGAAATACCATTTGGCCCAGCAATCCCATTACAGGGTATATACCCAAAGGATTATAAATCATTCTACTATAAAGACACATGCACACTTATGTTTATTGTGGAACTGTTCACAATAGCAGACTTGGAACCAACCCAAATGCCCATCAATGATAGACTGGATAAAGAAAATGTGGCACATATACACCATGGAATGTTATGCAGCCATCAAAAAGGATGAGTTTATGTCCTTTGCAGGACATGGACGAAGTTGGAAATCATCATTCTCAGCAAACTAACACAGGAACAGAAAACCGAACACCACATGTTCTCACTCATAAGTGGGAGTTGAACAGTGAGAACATATGGACACAGGGAGGGGACCATCACACGTGGGGGCCTGTTGGGGGTTGGGGCGCTAGGGGAGGAGAAATACCTAATGTGGATGATGGGTTAATGGGTGCAGCAAGCCACCATGGCATGTGTATACCTGTGTAACAAACCCTCATGTTCTGCACATGTACCCCAGAACTTAAAGTATAATTTAAAAAAAAAAAGGATAGAAAGGCAATATATATGAATTTTCTTACTAAGTTTGATGTCTACATATTTACATCTAATGCAAATTTATTTTAAAAACATTATATGTTTAAGGCTGGGCTTGGTGACTCATGCCTGTAATCCCAGCACTTTGGGAGGCTGAGGCAGGCAGATCACTTGAGGCCAGGAGCTCGAGACCAGTGTGGGCATTGTGACAAAACCCCGTCTCTACTAAAAATACAAAAATTAGCCAGCGTGGTGGTGCATGCCTGTAATCTCAGCTACTCAGGAGGCTGAGGCCGGAGAATGACTTGAACCTGGCAGGCAGAAGTTGCAGTGAGCTGAGATCGAGCCACTGCACTCCAGCCAGGGCGACTGAGTGAGACTGTTTCAGAACGAAGAAACAAACAAACAAAATCACATGTTCAAAAACATGTTCTTCCAGAAACTAATTTCTTAACATAAGTAGATAAAATTTACTTTAAACAAGAAAATAAGCTGTTTTTTAAAAAAAAGTAACTTTCAGAATATATACTAGTATCAGTATAATTCAGTCCCTTATCCTATAGATACCACTGTGTTTTACTTGTTATTAGAGAAAATAGAAAACATAAAAGTAGGAGAAACAGTGCTATGCCTAGCAATTTTTTTTTTTTTTTTTGAGACGGAGTCTCACTCTGTTGCCCAGGCTGGAATGCAGTGGCACAATCTCTGCTCACTGCAACCTCTGCCTCCTGGGCTGAAGCAATTCTCCTGCCTCAGTCTCCTGAGTAGCTAGGATTACAGGCACCCACCACCACGCCTTGCTCATTTTAGTATTTTTTAGTAGAGACGGGTTTTCATTATGTTGGCCAGGCTGATGTAGAACTCTTGACCCCAAGTGATCCACCCATCTCAGCCTCCCTAAGTGCTGGGATTACAGGTGTGAACCACCACGCCTGGCCTGCAAAATTATCTAGTGTAATTGCCTCCTATGTTAAAAAGAATGCTTATAAATGATCACCAAAAATCTAATCTTAGTCTCTACCATAAAAAGTCATTTAGAAAAAGATCTCTGGTTATTAGAACAAATAAAGACATTATTATTAAAATGACACTAGATTATTAAAAAGTATTTCCTTACGTGATAACTGATTTTGCCATAATTATTTTGGAAAGTTCCATGTAATCTATGACCATTAATTGTGATTGTATTCCCCCAAATATATCTCTAGAACTGAAATTCCTTTAGGAATTTCAGTGTAATTCAATAAAATAAACCATGAATTGCTCAGTTTTTACCCTACTCAAGTTGAATTTAATAGTGATATTAATAACAGTACTATTTATAATAAAATACTAAAAATATTATTGGCAGACTGAAAGCTTTAGAGACAGTGAATCGTTTTTAAAGAGTTGTTCCTGACACTTATTAGATACTAACTAAATATTAAATCAGTTAACCAAAAAATGATACTTACAAATAAGTTGTAAAAGATAAACATATTGCTCAGAAAGGAGGCAAACTGTTCTCACCAGATAGCTTGGTAGTAAACTTATTATTCATAACTCATATGACAACTTAAAGGTACATAGTGCTATAATTAATGCATCAAATAAAAAACAAAAACTTCCTGGAAGGTAAGAGTAATTTTTAAAAAATGATTCAGAATAAAGCAAATGTTTTATAATTGACCTAATTTTCAGAACAACTTTAGAGCTTCTCATGAGGAAATATGGCATAAAATTAATAAAAAATTATTCAGTCAGTGTTATGCAAGACAGACCATTTTAAAACAAGCTTAAATGAACACAGATGCTTAAAAAAGATTGAGTTGATGAGTTTTAAAAAATTAATTCTTCCTCTCATCTTCACCAAGAATTTAAGCTAGCTTATTAATGAATGTTATGAAGGATTAAAAGACAACAGAAAAATTTCAGACTTTTGCAAAAAAAAATGAGCAACTAGAAAAGATTTTAATATAGTATATTTGTCAAGAGTGAAAATATAGCTACATTGTTTTAAATTAGATAGTAGTCTTCAGTTAGCAGAAATTTCTATCTTATGAGGGTTTAATATTTGTTTTCAACTTATCTATTTCCAGCCTGGCCAACATAGTGAAACCTCGACTCTACTAAAAACACAAAAATTAGCCAGGCTTGGTGGTGGGCACCTGTAGTCTCAGCTACCCGGGAGGCTGAGGCAGGAAAATCACTTGAACCCAGAGGGCAGAGTTTGAAGTGAGCCGAGATCACACCACTGCACTCCAGTCTGGGCAATGGAGCAAGACTGTCTCAAAAAAAAAAAAAAATTATTCCATCTATTTCTTTATTTCTCTCCATAAATAGCAGCTATCATTTCATTAAATTAAACAGAAACACACAACCAGAAGTGCCAGAATAAAGATCATGAAATTAATATATACTTAACAAACTAGAATTTTTATCTTAGGTGCTGTTTTAAATGGAGACTGCCATATCATATTAAGCCCATTAAATCTGTCCCCTAACACTGACAATAAATTAGCACACATTATGGAAGCTGCTTTTCAAATACTGTTTTCTATTTTGCAAGTATACATTTTAAAAATTATTATTAGTTTTCATAAAATAGTAAATTCCTTGGGGGTAATTAGAAATAATCACAGCAATCTATAATTTGTTCCTTTCTCATGTATTGTTTTCATCTATCTAAAGAAGAAAAGTGCATTAGACAAATATAACAAAGTTATTATAAGCCTACCACTAAGAATATCAAAATGAAGTTAAATACATTTTGTGGAAAAACCTGACTTCCACCAAATCTCGTACTTCTTAGACAGATTAAAAATATTTTCTACATTAAAATGTCACCATTTTCCTCAATTTTGGTACATGATTCCAGCTTAGTGAATTACACAGCTAATGCCATGATATTGCTCTGTAATATGCAGCAAAAAAACAAATTTAAGACAGCAAAGTAGAATATAATATTCTTGGTAGCAAATCTTTTCTTATTGTACAATAAAAACTGATGAATCTTTTCTGTTTCTCATGGATTTCTTTTTTTAAACCTTAACAGGTTAGCATGAGAATGCAAGCACCTTGAGGGTAGAGACAACTACTGTGTACAGGCACTATACTGGGAACTAGGCAAAAGATAAAAAGTAGAATGAAAAGTCACAAGCACCTTAAGAAAAAAATACAATTAGTAGAATTAAAACCATGTCCTTTTTCATAATTACTCGATCTATAATACAATGAGACAGAACTTTTTGTCATGAAATGTGTATTTCACTTGTTTAAAGTTCTAGTTGAATTTATTATTTACCATCTTTCTCTCTCTTTTATTGTAACATTCTAAGTACCTCTTCATTTCCCAAACACGCTCTTCAAACACATATTCATTTCCCAAACACATATTCTTCAAGGACTGTCAGTTCTGTGAATATTACAAGTCCTTTTAAAAATTATTATAATAAATATTGATGCAAAGCAAAGGCCCATGATTTAATTTTTTTTCTTTTAGTATGGTCACTTTTTATTAACTACAAAAGGTAATGATATAAAAAAGAAACAGAATAAACATTTACCAAAAGTTATTAATATACCACCACTCAAAATTCAGAAAATGTGTTGTTTTCACGTACACATACGTGAAATAAAATAATACCATAACAAAAGGGTGCTGTATCTGTGTTTAAAGAAGGGGTTGTTGGCAAACACCACAGCTCACTTCTGCTGAAATGTACACAACTGATATATGCAGCACAGAAAGCTGGCACCAAGGGCTTACAACCTTAATTTGCCTGCAAGAAGGAACGGAGATTTACCTTCAGAGCACGTTCTTGATTGTTTTCAGCAGTCAGATGTCTCATGTTGTTTGCTGAAGTCTGGTTCTGCTCTTTCACATGATGAAGCTCCTGCTCTAACCGTTTGCACTGCCACAGGGGAAGAATCCCATTAAGTAAAGGAGTTATAGCATTTTTTTTCACCAAGCCACATGAATTAATGTAAATAATATCATTGTATTCTCTAAAAGACAAGGTTTTTTTTTTGCAACAAGAATGGTAAGTAAAAGTAATGTTAAATACAATAAATAAAAACATTGCTTACAGTATTCTAAAAATTCAATTATAATTTTCAGTTAGTTTATTAATCTGAATGTTATATAAATCACAAAAATAGTTTTATAAAATTAAGGTCAAACCATATTTAAAATTATTTACTTCTTTGACCAAATGGTTCTGATTATCTATCTGTTGGTTGAATAAAACTGTGCTTCTAAAAATCATATTGGATTCTAAACAAACTACAATATGATATTGTATGATCACATTTTATTAATATTTAAAAATAAAAATTATAAGGTATATGTTCAGAAATATTTCTAGATTTTAGAAATATCTAAGGAAACAATTTTATAGGGAAAAAAGCAATAGCCAAAGAGTGCCAAGACTTGGAAATAGATAAAGAATTGAGTGTTTTTAATTTCTCCCATTTTGACCAAATTTTACTTTTAAGTAAAAGTGGTTAACAGATATGTGAAATGACCACTTTCACCTATTTGGAATACAAGTAAAGAATATAAGAGAATATAAGTAAAAATAATAAGTTAAAGTTTCAATGAGCCAATAGAAGCATCTATGTTCAAAAAATTTTTGAAATATCTTGCCATTTGAATATAAGATTTCAATATAAATATGTAAAACACTTCACATAATAATTACACAGGCTATAAAATGGGGTGCTGCAAATCAGGACAATAGGAAGACACATGGGGGATTAAAGAAATAAAGTACTAAACACACCATTGAGGAAAACATTAAAAACCATTCCTTAATTTATCTATTTTAAAATTAGAATATTTACAAAACAACTAATAAGGACACATACTGATTTAAGATCTGGAAAAAGTTCTTTCTAGATTATTTGACAAATGGATAGTTGTCATAATAGATGAATAAAAAATCATTACTTATTATGTTACAATCATGACGCAGCTATCATCCAAAATGACATTTCTTACTACTCTGATTTCTTCTGCCTCTGACCCAAATCATATTAGGCAGTACGTATCAATATTTCACAACTTTGAGTATACAAAATGTTTTAGAAGAAAAAGTCTTACCAGACTCCTGATATTGACTTAGATTGCAAAATGATGTTTGTGTACAAATATGAAATTGAGTATACACACTTCATACATATATAATACAATTATAAAATCAAAACACACTTAAAAATAAATAAAATAACCATAATATCAAGGCATTTTTAATCAACATTAATTTAATTTAGCAGATAGTTTTGTTGAAACTAAATTCTCCAAATATGATAAAATACTGACTCAGTGCAGATTTTTTTACATTGCCATGTCTATTCCATCATCAGCTGTATGATAACTTAATTCACCTATCACATTTTTAAAAATTTACTTGAAAATTTTGTGACACATATTATGTGGTATTTATTTTCAGGAGACACATGATCTACATATTAAACTGTGTCTCTGTCTTTTATAGCCAGTAACAAAATATTTGGTCAGAATGCAATCAAATCACAGTGTGTGTTACTAAGGACACAAATTATGACCCGAGAAAATGAACACGGCATAGCACTAACTGTACTATCGTGTGTACTCACGATACAGTAGAGATATTCTCTACTAAATTATCCTTTACATTTTCAATTAAATTTAATATAAAATTATTAAGATTAAAATGTAATAACTAAGTAGGACCTATAAGGATTCAAAGGTGGGGCAGATTATTTTGGCTATGGGAGAAAGAACGTTTCATGGAGCTGCTGACATCTGAGTTGGGCTTGTTTTGGGAATGTGATTTTGTAAGCTGACATGGAGAAAGAAGAATACAGGAGAAAAGAAATGAAAGTAGAAACTTAAGAAGTGTATCTGAAGAAAAAGAGGAAGCATGGTCAAGAGTTGTGTGACCACCTATTATTTTCATTCCAAATAAATTAGAAATCACCCAGGAATAGGGATTTTTCCAAACTACATGGTAGAAACATAAAAAATTCACTCATTCATGCTCAAGAAATAAATGCTAAGTGTTCTTGTAAAATAAATATTTGTAGCATATTTAACTACATTAAATGTTTATTTAAATTTATGTAATCCTATATTATTTCTTCATTTGACATTATCCTTGAAAATCCTAACACATTCCCCACAATTGCATATTTATGCATAATTTATACTGGTTTGTTTCTTTTTACTTTTATTAAACTCTGCAATTTTGAAATTTATTTTGAAGCAATGGGATTGAACAGTTTATTCATCAGGAAGTGGCATAGTATATTAATTACTGTCACTCTATAATTTCATAAAATAGTTATAAAGCAGATAAAGATACTATCCTTTAATCACATCTCAAATTTTATTGATATTCTCACCAAATTCATTTGTCAAAATGTTTATATTTTTAATTGTTAAATTTGTCACTAAAATGATACAGAAAGGGCAGGAGTAGCTATGCTTATATCAGACAAAACAAATTTCAAGACAAAAACTCTAAGGAAAGACAAACAAGGTCATTATATAATGATAAAGTGGTCAATTCAGCAAGAGGATGCAGCAATTTTAAATATATATGCACTCAACATTCGAGCATCCATATATATATAAAGCAAGTATTATTAGAGCTAAAGAGAGATATAGGCTCCAATACAATAATAGCTGGATATATCAACATCCCACTTTCAGAGATGAACATATTTTCCATAAAGAAAATCAACAAAGAAACTTCGGACTGAATCTGAACTACAGACTAAATGGATCTACTAGACAGTTACGGAACATTTCGTCCAACGGCCGCAGAATGCACATTCTTTTCCTCAGCACAAGGATCATTCTCATGGGTAGATCATATGTTAGGTCACAAAACAAGTCTTAAAACATTAAAAAAACTGAAATAATATCAAACATCTTCTCTAACCACAATAGAAGAAAACTAGAAATTAATAACAGGAGGAATTCTGGAAACTACACAAACACACCAAAATTAAACAATATGCTCCTGAATGACCAGGGGGTCGATGAAGAAATTAAGAAGAAAACTGAAAAACTTCTTGAAACAAATGATAATGGAAACACAACATTGACTACAGGATACAGCAAAAGTAGTACTAAGAGGGAAGTTTATAGCGGTAAGAGCCTACAGCAAAAAAGAAGAAAAACTCAAACAAACAACCTAACAATGCATCTTAAAGAACTAGAAAAGAAAGAGCAAACCAAACCCAAAATTAGTAGAAGAAACAATAAAGATCAGAGCAGAAATGAATAAATTTGAAATGAAAAAAAATACAAGAGATCAATATAACAAAAGCCAGACTAAGAAAAAAGGAGAGAAAATCCAAATAAGTAAACTCAAAGATGAAAAGAGATACTATAAACAATATGACAGAAATTCAAAGGATTATTAGTGGCTACTATGAGCAACTATATGCCAATAAATTGACAAATCTAGAAGAAATGGACACATTCCTAGACACAAACAACCTACTGAGATTGAGCCAGGAAGAAATCTAAAACCTGAACAGACCAAGAGCAAGTAAAGAAATCGAAGCCATAATAAAAAGTATCCCAGTAAAGAAAAGCCTTGGACCTGATGGCTTCACTACTGAATTCTAATAAATATTTATAGAAGAACAAATACCAATCCTACTCAAACTATTCTGGAAAACAGAAGAAGAGGGAAGACTTCCAAACACATTCTACAAGGCCAGTATTATCATAATACCAAAACAAGACCAAGACACATCAAAAAAAGAAAACTGTAGGCCAATATCTCTGATGCATATTGATGCAAAAATCCTCAACAAAATACTAGCAAACGTGGTCAACAATACGTTAAAAAGATCATGCATCATGACTAAGTGGGATTTATCCCTGGGATGCAAGGATGATTCAACATACGCAAATCAATCAATGTGATACATCACATCAACAGAGTGAAGGACAAAAACCATATGATCATTTCAATAGATGCTGAAAATGCATTTGATGAAATTTAACATCCCTTCATGATAAAAACACTCAAAAAATTGGGTATAGAAGGAATGTACATTAACATAATAAAAGCCACATATGAGAGACCCACAACAAACATCATACTGAATGGGGAAAAACTGAAAGCCTTTCCTCTAAGATCTGGAAAACAACAAGGATGCCCACTTGCACCACTGTTATTCAACATAGTACTGGAAGTACTAGCCAGAGCAATCGGACAAGAGAAAGAAATAAAGGGCATCCAAACTGGAATGGAAGAAGTCAAATTATCCTTGTTTGCAGATGATATGATCACATATTTGGAAAAACCTGAAGATTCCACATACACACAAAAAAACTGTTAGAATTGATAAATTCAGTAAGGTTGCAGGATACAAAATCAACATACAAAAATCAGTAGCATTTCTATATGACAACAGTGAAAAATCTGAAAAAGAAATTTTAGAAAACACTCCCATTTATCACAGCTACAGATGAAATTAAATACCAAGAGATTAATTTAACCAAAGAAAACTATAAAACACTGATGACAGAAATTAAAGAGAACACCAAAAAATGAAAAGACAGTCCTTGTTCATGGATTGGAAGAGTCAATATTGTAAAAATGTAGGTGCTACCCAAAGCAATATACAGATTCAATGCAATCTCTATCAAAATAACAATGACATTCTTCACAGAAATAGAAAAAACAATCCCAAAATGTATATGGAACCAGAAGAGATTCAGAAGAACCAAAGTTACCCTAAGCAAAAAGAACAAAACTGGAGGAATCTCTTTACTTCACTTTAAATTATACTACAGAGACAGAGTAAACAAAACAGTATGGTTCTGACATAAAAACACATAGACCAATGGAACAGAATAGAAAACCCAGAAACAAATCTACACACCTACAGTGAACTAATTTTTAACAAAAGTGCCAAGAACATACACTGGGGAAAAGACAGTCTCTTCAATAAATGGTGCTGGGAAAACTGGATTTCCATATGCAGAAGAATAAAACTAGACAACTAACCCTTGCCATATACAAAAATCAAATCAAAATGGATGAAAGACTTAAATCTAAGACTCCAGATTATGAAACTACTACAGAAAATATAAGGGAAAATCTCTAGGACATTGGTCTAAGCTGGTCTAAGCAAAAATTTCTTGGTTTCTGTTCCAAGACAGCCAAATAGGAACAGCTCCAGTCTGCAGATCCAAGTGTGATCCACGTAGAAGACTGGTGATTTCTGCATTTCCAACTAAAGTACCCAGTTCATCTCATTGGGATTGGTTAGACAGTGGGTGCAGCCCACAGTGGGTAAGCCAAAGCAGGGCAGGGCGTCACCTCACCCAGGAAGCGCAAGGGGTCAGGGGGATTTCCCTTTCCTAGCCAAGGGAAGCAGTAACAGACTGTACCTGGAAAAATGGGACATTCCGGCCCAAATACTGTGCTTTTCCCATGGTCTTAGCAACCAGCAGACCAGGAGATTTTCTCCCACGCCTGGCTCGGGGGGTCACATGCCCACGGAACATGGCTCACTGCTAGTGAAGCAGTCTGAGATGGACCTGTGAGGCTGCAGCTTGGCTGGGGGAGGGGTATCCGCCATTACTGAGGCTTATGTAGGTAAACAAAGCGGCCAGGAAACTTGAACTGGGCAGCGCCCACCACAGCTCGGGAAGGCCTACTGCATCTATACACTCCACCTCTGTGGGCAGGGCATAGTTGAACAAATGGCAGCGGACAACTTCTACAGACTTAAATGTCCCTGTCTGATAGCTCTGAAGAGAGCAGTGGTTCTCCCAGCACGGCATTTGAGCTTTGAGAATGGACAGACTGCCTCCTCAAGTAGGTCCCTGACAATCATGTAGCCTAACTGGAAGACACCTCCCACTGGGGCCGACAGACACCTCATACAGGTGGATGCCCCTCTGGGATGAAGCTTCCAGAAAAAGGAACAGACAGCAATATTTGCTGTTCTGCAATATTTACTGTTCTGCAGCCTCCACTGGTGATACGCAGGCAAACAGGGTCTGGAGTGGACCTCCAGCAAACTCCAATGGACCTGCAGCTGAGGGACCTGACTGTTAGAAGAAAAACTAAGAAACAGAAAGGAATAGTTTCAACATCCACAAAAAGGACACCTACACCAAAACCCCAACTGTAGGTCAAAAACATCAGAGACCAAAGGTAGATAAATACATAAAGATGGGGAGAAACCAGAGCAGAAAAGCTGAAAATTCTAAAAACCAGAGTGCCTCTTCTTCTCCAAAGGATCGCAGCTCCTCACCAGCAATGAAACAAAGCTAGATGCAGAATGACTTTGACAAACTGACAGAAGTAGGCTTCAGAAGGTCAGTAGTAACAAACTTCTCCAAGCTAAAGAAGCATGTTCTAACCCATGGCAAGGAATCTAAAAATCTTGAAAAAAGGTTGGACGAACAACTAACTAGAATAAACAGTGTAGAGAAGACCTTAAATGACCTGACAGAGCTGAAAACCATGGCACAAGAATGTCGTGACACATGCACAAGCTTCAATAGCCGATTCAATCAAGTGGAAGAAAGGGTATCAGTGATAGAAGATCAAATTAATGAAATATAGCGAGGGGAGAAGTTTAGAGAAAAAAGAGTAAAAAGAAACAAACAAAGCCTCCAAGAAATATGGGACCATGTGAAAAGACCAAATCTACATTTGATTGGTGTACCGGAAAGTGACGGGGAGAATGAAACCAAGTTGGAAAACACTCTTCAGGATATTATCCAGGAGAACTTCCCCAACCTAGCAAGGCAGACCAACATTCAAATTCAGGAAATACAGAGAGCACCACAAAGATACTGCTTGAGAAGAGCAACCCCAAGACACGTAATTGTCAGATTCACCAAGGTTGAAATAAAGGAAAAAATGTTAAGTGCAGCCAGAGAGAAAGGTCAGGTTACCCACAAAGGGAAGCCCATCAGACTAACAGTGCATCTATCGGCAGAAACCCTACAAGCCAGAAGAGAGTGGGGGTCAATATTCAACATTCTTAAAGAAAAGAATTTTCAACCCAGAATTTCATATCCAGCCAAACTAAGCTTCATAAGTGAAGGAGAAATAATCCTTTACAGACAACCAAATGCTGAGAGATTTTGCCACCACCAGGCCTGCCTTACAAGAGCTCCTGAAGGAAGCACTAAATATAGAAAGGAACAACCAGTACTAGCCACTGCAAAAACATGCCAAATTGTAAAGACCATTGATGCTATGAAGAAACTGCATCAATTAACGGGCAAATTAACCAGCTAACATCATAATGACAGGATCATATTCACACATAACAATATTAACCTTAAATGTAAATGAGCTAAATGCCCCAATTAAAGGACACAGACTGGCAAATTGGATAGAGTCAAGACCCATCAGTGTGCTGTGTTCAGGAGACCCATCTCACATGCAGAGACACACATAGCTCAAAACAAAGGGAAGGAGGAAGATCTACCAAGCAAATGGAAAGCAAAAAAAGCAGGCATTGCAATCCTAGTCTCTGATAAAACAGACTTTAAACCAACAAAAGTCAAAAGAGACAAACAGCACTTTGAAAGGCCAAGGCGGGCAGATCACAAGGTCAGGAGATTGAGACCATCCTGGCTAACATGGTGCAACCCGGACTCTACGAAAAATACAAAAAATTAGCTGGGCATGGGGGTGGGTGCCTGTAGTCCCAGCTACTCGAGAGGCTGAGGCAGGAGAATGGCATGAACCCGGGGAAGGCGGAGCTTGCATTGGGCCGAAATCGAGCCACTGCCCTTCAGACTGCGAGAGAGGCAAAAAAAAAAAAAAAAAAAAAAAAAAAGAGAGAGAGGGAGAAACAAAAAAGGCCATCACATAATGGTAAAGGGAACAATTCAACAAGGAGAGCTAACTATCCTAAATATATATGCACCCAATACAGGAACACCCAGATTCATAAAGCAAGTCTTTAGAGACCTACAAAGAGACGTAGACTCCCACACAGTAGTAATGGGAGACCTTAACACCCCACTGTCAATATTAGACTGATCAATGAGAGAGAAGGTTAACCAAGAGAGAGAAGGATATCCAGGACTTGAATGCAGCTCTGCACCAAGGGGACCTAATAGACATCTACAGAACTCTTCACCCCAAATCAACAGAATACATATTCTTCTCAGTACCACATTGCACTTATTCTAAAATTGACGACATAATTGGAAGTAAAGAATTCCTTAGCATATGTAAAAGAACAGAAATCACAACAAACTGTCTCTCAGACCACAGTGCAATCAACTTAGAACTCAGGATTAAGAAACTCACTCAAAACTGCACAACTACATAAACGCTGAACAACTGCTCCTAAATGACTACTAGGTAAATAATGAAATGAAGGCAGAAACAAAGATGTTCTTTGAAACCAGTGAGAACAAAGATACAACGTAACAGAATCTCTGGGACACATTTAATGCAGTGTGTAGGCGGAAATTTATAGCACTAAATGCCCACAAGAGAAAGCAGAAAAGATCTAAAATTGACATCCTACCATCACAATTAAAAGAACTAGAGAAGCAAGAGCAAACACATTCAAAAGCTAGCAGAAGGCAAGAAATAACTAAGATCAGAGCAGAACTGAAAGAAATAGGGACACAAAAAACCCTTCAAAAAAATCAATGAATCCAGGAGCTGGTTTTTTGAAAAGATCAACAAAATTGATAGACTGCTAGCAAGACCAATAAAGAACAAAAGAGGGAAGAATCAAACAGACGCAATAAAAAATGACAAAGGGGATATCACCACCGATCCCACACAAATACAAGCTACCATCAGAGAATACTATAAAAACCTCTACGCAAATAAACTAGAAAATCTAGAAGAAATGGATGAATTCCTGGACACGTACACCCTCCCAAGACTAAACCAGGAAGAACTTGAATCTCTGAATAGACCAATAACAGGCTCTGAAATTGAGGCAATAACTAATAGCCTACTGAACAAAAAAGTCCAGGACTAGATGGATCACATCCGAATTCTACCAGAGGTACGAAGAGGAGATAGTACCATTCCTTCTGAAACTATTCCAATCAATAGAGAAAGAGGGAATCCTCCCTAATTCATTTTATGAGGCAACATCACCCTGATACCAAAGCGTGGCAGAGACACAACAAAAAAAGGGAATTTTAGACCAACATCCCTGATCAATATGGATGCGAATATCCTCAATAAAATACTGGCAAACCGAATCCAGCAGCACATCAAAAAGCTTATCCGCCAAGATCAAGTCGGCTTCATCCCCGGGATGCAAGGCTGGTTCAACATATGCAAATCAATAAACATAATACATCACATAAACAGAACCAATGACAAAAACCACATGATTGTCTCATTAGATGCAGAAAAGGCCTTCGACAAAATTCAACAGCCCTTCATGCTAAAAACTCACAATGAACTAGACATTGATGGAACGTATCTCAAAATAATAAGAGCTATTTATGACAAACCCACAGCCAATATTATACTGAATGGGAAAAAACTGGAAGCATTCCCTTTGAAAACCGGCACAAGACAAGGATGCCCTCTCTCACCACTCCTATTTAACATAGTGTTGGAAGTTCTGGCCAGGGCAATCGGGCAAGAGAAAGAAATAAAAGATATTCAATTATGAAAAGTGGAAGTCAAAGTTTGCAGATTACGTGATTGTATATTTAGAAAACCCCATCGTCTCAGTCCAAAATCTCCTTAAGTTGATAAGCAAATTAGGCAAATTCTCAGGATACAAAATCAATGTGCAAAAATCAAAAGTATTCCTATACACCAATAACAGAGAGCCAAATAATGAGTGAACTCCCATTCACAATTGCTACAAAGAGAATAAAATACCTAGGAATACAACTTACAAGGGATGTGAAGGACCTCTTCAAGAAGAACTACAAACCACTGCTCAAGGAAATAAAAGAAGAGACAAACAAATGGAAGAACATTCTATGCTCATGGATAGAAAGAATCAATATCATGAAAATGGCCATACTGCCCAAGGTAATTTATAGATTCAATGCTATCCGCATCAAGCTACCACTGACTTTCTTCACAGAATTGGAAAAAAACTACTTTAAAGTTCATATGGAACCAAAAAAGAGCCCACATTGCCAAGACAATCCTAAGCAAAAAGAAGAAAGCTGGAAGCATCACGCTACCTGACTTCAAACTACACTACAAGGCTACAGTAACCAAAACAGCACGGTACTGGTACCGAAACAGATATATAGACCAATCGAACAGAACAGAGGCCTCAGAAGTAACACCACACACCTACAACCATTTGGTCTTCGACAAACCTGACAAAAACTAGCAATGGGGAAAGGATTCCCTGTTTAATAAATCGTGCTGGGAAAACTGGCTAGCCATATGTAGAAAGCTGAAACTGGATCCCTTCCTTATACCTTATACAGAAATTAATTCAAGATGGATTAAAGACTTAAATATTAGACCTAAAACCATAAAAACCCTAGAAGAAAACCTAGGCAATACCATTCCAGACATAGGCATGGGCAAGGACGTCATGACTAAAACACCAAAAGCAAGGGCAACAAAAGCCAAAATTGACAAATAGGATCTGATTAAACTAAAGAGCTTCTGCACAGCAAGAGAAACTACCCTCAGAGTGAACAGGCAACCTACAGAATGGGAGAAAATTTTTGTAATCTACCTATGTGACAAAGGGCTGACATCCAGAATCTACAAAGAAATTTAACAAATTTACAAGAAAAAGGCAACCCCGTGAAAAAGTGGGCAAAGGGTATTAACAGACACTTCTCAAAAGAAGACATTTATGCATCCCACAGACACATGAAAAAATGCTCATCATCACTGGTCATCAGAGAAATGCAAATCAAAACCACAATGAGATACCATCTCACACCAGTTAGAATGGCAATGATTAAAAAGTCAGAAAACAACAGATGCTGGAGAGGATGTGGAGAAATAGGAACGCTTTTACACTTGGTGGGAGTGTAAATTAGTTCAACCATTGTGGAAGACAGTGTGGCAATTCCTCAAGGATCTAGGACTAGAAATAACATTTGACCCAGTGATTCCATTGCTGGATATATACCCAAAGGATTATAAATCATGCTGCTATAAAGACACATGCACAGGTATGTTTATTGCAGCACTATTCACAATAGCAAAGATTGGAATGAACTCAAATGCCCATCAATAATAGACTGGATTAAGAAAATGTGGCACATATACACCATGGAATACTATGCAGCCATAAAAAAGGATGAGTTCATATCCTTTGCAGAGACATGGATGAAGCTGGAAACCATCATTCTCAGCAAATTTTCAGAAGGACAGGAAACCAAACACTGCATGTTCTCACTCACAGATGGGAATTGAAAACTTAGAACACTTGGACATAGGGCAGGGAACATCACACACGGGGGCCTCTCAGGGGGCAGGAAGCTGGGGGAGGGATAGCATTAGGAGAAATACCTAACATAAATGACGAGTTGATGGGTGCAGCAAACCATCATGGCACATGTATAACTATGTAACAAACCTGCACATTGTGCACATGTACCCTAGAACTTAAAGTATAATTAAAAAAACAAAAAAAGAAAAAAATATTTCTTGAGCAATACCCCACAAGCACAGGCAACCAAAACAAAAATGGACAAATGAGATCCCATCAACTTAAAAATCTTCTGCACAGCAAAGGAAACAATCAATAAAGAGAAGAGACAACCTACAGAATGGGAGAAAATATTTGCAAACTATCCATCTGACAAGGAATTAACAACCAGGATATATAAGGAGCTCAAACAACTCTATTGGAAAAGATCTAATAACCTGATTTTTTTTAAAAAGACCAAATAATTGAATAGACATTTCTCAAAAGATGACATACAAATGGCAAAGTGGCATATGAAAAGGTGTTCAATATCACTGATCATCAACGAAATGCAAATCAAAACTACAATTAGATTATTGTCTCACTCCAGTTAAAATGGCTTTTAACTAAAAGACAAGTAATAACAAATGCTGGTGAGCATGTGGAAAAAGGGTGAAAAGGGTGAACATTTCTTGAGCAATATCCCACAAGCACAGGCAACCAAAGCAAAAATGGACAAATGGGATCACATCAAGTTAAAAATCTGCACAGCATAGGAAACAATCAACAAAGTGAAGAGACAATATGGGAGAAAATACTTGCAAACTGCCCATCTGTTGGTGAGAATGTAAGTTAGTACAATCACTATGGAGAAAATTTTGGAGGTTCCTCAGAAAATTAAAAATAGAGCTACCATATGATCCAGCAATCCCACTACTGGGTATATACTCCAAAGAAAGGAAATCAGTATATTGAAGAGATATCTGCACCTCCATGTTTGTTGCAGCACTGTTCACAATAGCCAATATTTGGAAGCACCCTAAGTGTTCAACAGATCACTGGATAAAGAAAATGTGGCACATGTATACACAGTGGAGTACTATTCAATCATAAAAAAATGAGATCCTGGGGGGAGGAGCCAAGATGGCCGAATAGAAACAGCTCCGGTCTACAGCTCCCAGCGTGGCC
Source organism: Homo sapiens (assembly GCF_000001405.40). Taxonomy (NCBI): domain Eukaryota; kingdom Metazoa; phylum Chordata; class Mammalia; order Primates; family Hominidae; genus Homo; species Homo sapiens. The sequence continues at coordinate 37,356,873 of NC_000014.9, read as the reverse complement.
GACGGGGAAGACAGTGATTTCTGCATTTCCATCTGAGGTACCGGGTTCATCTCACTAGGGACTGCCAGACAGTGGGCGCAGGTCAGTGGGTTCGCGCACCGTGCGTGAGCCGAAGCAGGGCGAGGCATTGCCTCACTCGGGAAGCGCAAGGGGTCAGGGAGTTCCCTTTCCGAGTCAAAGAAAGGGGTGACGGACGGCACCTGGAAAATCGGGTCACTCCCACCCGAATACTGCGCTTTTCTGACAGGCTTAAAAAACAGCTCACCATGAGATTATATCCCGCACCTGGCTCGGAGGGTCCTACACCCACAGAGTCTCGCTGATTGCTAGCACAGCAGTCTGAGATCAAACTGCAAGGCGGCAGCGAGGCTGGGGGAGGGGCGCCCGCCATTGCCCAGGCTTGCTTAGGGAAACAAAGCAGCCTGGAAGCTCGAACTGGGTGGAGCCCACCACAGCTCAAGGAGGCCTGCCTGCCTCTGTAGGCTTCACCTCTGGGGGCAGGGCACAGACAAACAAAAAGACAGCAGTAACCTCTGCAGACTTAAATGTCCCTGTCTGACAGCTTTGAAGAGAGCAGTGGTTCTCCCAGCACGCAGCTGGAGATCTGAGAACTGGCAGACTGACTCCTCAAGTGGGTCCCTGACCCCTGACCCCCGAGAAGCCTAACTGGGAGGCACACCCCAGCAGGGACAGACTGACACCTCACACAGCAGGGTATTCCAACAGACCTGCAGCTGAGGGTCCTGTCTGTTAGAAGGAAAACTAACAAACAGAAAGGACATCCACACCAAAAACCCATCTGTACATCACCATCATCAAAGACCAAAAGTAGATAAAACCACAAAGATGGGGAAAAAACAGAACAGAAAAACTGGAAACTCTAAAAAGCAGAGCGCCTCTCCTCCTCCAAAGGAACACAGTTCCTCACCAGCAACGGAACAAAGCTGGATGGAGAATGACTTTGACGAGCTGAGAGAAGAAGGCTTCAGACGATCAAATTACTCTGAGCTACAGGAGGACATTCAAACCAAAGGCAAAGAAGTTGAAAACTTTGAAAAAAATTTAGAAGAATGTATAACTAGAATACCCAATACAGAGAAGTGCTTAAAGCAGCTGATGGAGCTGAAAACCAAGGCTCGAGAACTACATGAAGAATGCAGAAGCCTCAGGAGCCGATGCGATCAACTGGAAGAAAGGGTATCAGCGATGGAAGATGAAATGAATGAAATGAAGCGAGAAGGGAAGTTTAGAGAAAAAAGAATAAAAAGAAATGAGCAAAGCCTCCAAGAAATATGAGACTATGTGAAAAGACCAAATCTACGTCTCATTGGTGTACCTGAAAGTGACAGGGAGAATGGAACCAAGTTGGAAAACACTCTGCAGGATATTATCCAGGAGAACTTCCCTAATCTAGCAAGGCAGGCCAACGTTCAGATTCAGGAAATACAGAGAACGCCACAAAGATACTCCTCGAGAAGAGCAACTCCAAGACACATAATTGTCAGATTCACCAAAGTTGAAATGAAGGAAAAAATGTTAAGGGCAGCCAGAGAGAAAGGTTGGGTTACCCACAAAGGGAAGCCCATCAGACTAACAGCAGATCTCTCAGCAGAAACCCTACAAGCCAGAAGAGAGTGGGGGCCAATATTCAACATTCTTAAAGAAAAGAATTTTCAACCCAGAATTTCATATCCAGCCAAACTAAGCTTCATAAGCTAAGGAGAAATAAAATACTTTACAGACAAGCAAATGCTGAGAGATTTTGTCACCACCAGGCCTGCCCTAAAAGAGCTCCTGAAGGAAGTGCTAAACATGGAAAGGACAACCGGTACCAGCCGCTGCAAAATCATGCCAAAATGTAAAGACCATCAAGACTAGGAAGAAACTGCATCAACTAACGAGCAAAATAACCAGCTAACATCATAATGACAGGATGAAATTCACACATAACAATCCTAACCTTAAATGTAAATGGACTAAATGCTCCAATTGAAAGACACAGACTGGCAAATTGGATAAAGAGTCAAGACCCATCAGTGTGCTGTATTCAGGAAACCCATCTCACGTGCAGAGACACACATAGGCTCAAAATAAAAGGATGGAGGAAGATCTACCAAGCAAATGGAAAACAAAAAAAGGCAGGGGTTGCAATCCTAGTCTCTGATAAAACAGACTTTAAACCAACAAAGATCAAAAGAGACAAAAAAGGCCATTACATAATGGTAAAGGGATCAATTCAACAAGAAGAGCTAACTATCCTAAATATATATGCACCCAATACAGGAGCACCCAGATTCATAAAGCAAGTCCTGAGTGACCTACAAAGAGATTTAGACTCCCACACATTAATAATGGGAGACTTTAACACCCCACTGTCAACATTAGACAGATCAACGAGACAGAAAGTCAACAAGGATACCCAGGAATTGAACACAGCTCTGCACCAAGCAGACCTAATAGACATCTACAGAACTCTCCACCCCAAATCAACAGAATATACATTTTTTTCAGCACCACACCACACCTAATCCAAAATTGACCGCATACTTGGAAGTAAAGCTCTCCTCAGCAAATGTAAAAGAACAGAAATTATAACAAACTATCTCTCAGACCACAGTGCAATCAAACTAGAACTCAGGATTAAGAATCACACTCAAAACTGCTCAACTACATGGAAACTGAACAACCTGCTCCTGAATGACTACTGGGTAGATAACGAAATGAAGGCAGAAATAAAGATGTTCTTTGAAACCAACGAGAACAAAGACACAACATACCAGAATCTCTGGGACACATTCAAAGCAGTGTGTAGAGGGAAATTTATAGCACTAAATGCCCACAAGAGAAAGCAGGAAAGATCCAAAATTGACACCCTAACATCACAATTAAAAAAACCAGAAAAGCAAGAGCAAACACATTCAAAAGCTAGCAGAAGGCAAGAAATAACTAAAATCAGAGCAGAACTGAAGGAAATAGAGACACAAAAAACCATTCAAAAAATTAATGAATCCAGGAGCTGGTTTTTTGAAAGGATCAACAAAATTGATAGATCGCTAGCAAGACTAATAAAGAAAAAAAGAGAGAAGAATCAAATATACGCATTAAAAAATGATAAACTGGATATCACCACTGATCCCACAGAAATACAAACTACCATCAGAGAATACTACAAACACCTCTACGCAAATAAACTAGAAAATCTAGAAGAAATGGATAAATTCCTGGACACATACACTCTCCCAAGACTAAACCAGGAAGAAGTTGAATCTCTGAATAGACCAATAACAGGATCTGAAATTGTGGCAATAATCAATAGCTTACCAACTAAAAAGAGTCCAGGACCAGATGGATTCACAGCCGAATTCTACCAGAGGTACAATGAGGAACTGGTACCTTTCCTTCTGAAACTATTCCAATCAATAGAAAAAGAGGGAATCCTCCCTAACTCATTTTATGAGGCCAGCATCATTCTGATACCAAAGCCAGGCAGAGACACAACAAAAAAAGAGAATTTTAGACCAATATCCTTGATGAACATTGATGAAAAAATCCTCAATAAAATACTGGCAAACCGAATCCAGCAGCACATCAAAAAGCTTATTCACCATGATCAAGTGGGCTTCATCCCTGGGATGCAAGGCTGGTTCAATATACACAAATCAATAAATGTAATCCAGCGTATAAACAGAGCCAAAGACAAAAACCACATGATTATCTCAATAGATGCAGAAAAAGCCTTTGACAAAATTCAACAACCCTTCATGCTAAAAACTCTCAATAAATTAGGTATTGATGGGACATATTTCAAAATAATAAGAGCTATCTATGACAAACCCACAGCCAATATCATACTGAATGGGCAAAAACTGGAAGCATTCCCTTTGAAAACTGGCACAAGACAGGGATGCCCTCTCTCACTACTCCTATTCAACATAGTGTTGGAAGTTCTGGCCAGGGCAATTAGGCAAGAGAAGGAAATAAAGGGTATTCAATTAGGAAAAGAGGAAGTCAAATTGTCCCTGTTTGCAGATGACATGATTGTATATCTAGAAAACCCCATTGTCTCAGCCCAAAATCTCCTTAAGCTGATAAGCAACTTCAGCAAAGTCTCAGTATACAAAATCAATGTACAAAAATCACAAGCATTCTTATACACCAACAACAGACAAACAGAGAGCCAAATCATGAGTGAACTCCCATTCACAATTGCTTCAAAGAGAATAAAATACCTAGGAATCCAACTTACAAGGGATGTGAAGGACCTCTTCAAGGAGAACTACAAACCACTGCTCAAGGAAATAAAAGAGGATACAAACAAATGGAAGAACATTCCATGCTCATGGGTAGGAAGAATCAATATCGTGAAAATGGCCATACTGCCCAAGGTAATTTACAGATTCAATGCCATCCCCATCAAGCTACCAATGACTTTCTTCACAGAACTGCAAAAAACTACTTCAAAGTTCATATGGAACCAAAAAAGAGCCCGCATCGCCAAGTCAATACTAAGCCAAAAGAACAAAGCTGGAGGCATCACACTACCTGACTTCAAACTATACTACAAGGCTACAGTAACCAAAACAGCATGGTACTGGTACCAAAACAGAGATATAGATCAATGGAACAGAACAGAGCCCTCAGAAATAACGCCGCATATCTACAACTATCTGATCTTTGACAAACCTGAGAAAAACAAGCAATGGGGAAAGGATTCCCTATTTAATAAATGGTGCTGGGAAAACTGGCTAGCCATATGTAGAAAGCTGAAACTGGATCCCTTCCTTACACCTTATACAAAAATCAATTCAAGATGGATTAAAGACTTAAACGTTAGACCTAAAACCATAAAAACCCTAGAAGAAAACCTAGGCATTACCATTCAGGACATAGGCATGGGCAAGGACTTCATGTCTAAAACACCAAAAGCAATGGCAACAAAAGACAAAATTGACAAATGGGATCTAATTAAAGAGCTTCTGCACAGCAAGAGAAACTACCATCAGAGTGAACAGGCAACCTACAAAATGGGAGAAAATTTTCACAACCTACTCATCTGACAAAGGGCTAATATCCACAATCTACAATGAACTCAAACAAATTTACAAGAAAAAAACAAACAACCCCATCAAAAAGTGGGCAAAGGACATGAACAGACACTTCTCAAAAGAAGACATTTATGCAGCCAAAAAACACATGAAAAAATGCTCATCATCACTGGCCATCAGATAAATGCAAATCAAAACCACAATGAGATACCATCTCACACCAGTTAGAATGGCAATCATTAAAAAGTCAGGAAACAACAGGTGCTGGAGAGGATGTGGAGAAATAGGAACGCTTTTACACTGTTGGTGGGACTGTAAACTAGTTCAACCATTGTGGAAGTAAGTGTGGCGATTCCTCAGGGATCTAGAACTGGAAATACCATTTGAGCCAGCCATCCCATTACTGGGTATATACCCAAAGGACTATAAATCATGCTGCTATAAAGACACATGCACACGTATGTTTATTGCGGCATTATTCACAATAGCAAAGACTTGGAACCAACCCAAATGTCCAACAATGATAGACTGGATTAAGAAAATGTGGCACATATACACCATGGAATACTATGCAGCCATAAAAAAGAATGAGTTCATGTCCTTGGTAGGGACATGGATGAAATTGGAAATCATCATTCTCAGTAAACTATCGCAAGAACAAAAAACCAAACACCGCATATTCTCACTCATAGGTGGGAATTGAACAATGAGATCACATGGACACAGAAAGGGGAATATCACACTCTGGGGACCGTTGTGGGGTGGGGGGAGGGGGGAGGGATAGCATTGGGAGATATACCTAATGCTAGATGATGAGTTAGTGGGTGCAGTGCACCAGCATGGCACATGTATACATATGTAACTAACCTGCACAATGTGCACATGTACCCTAGAACTTAAAGTATAATTTAAAAAAATGAGATCCTGTCATTTGCAATAACATGGATGGAACTGGAGATCATTATGTTAACTGAAACAATCCAAGCACAGAAAGAGATCATCGCATGTTCTCACTTATTTGTGGGATCTAAAAATCAAAACAATTGAACTCATGGACACAGGGATTAGAAGGATGGCTACCAGAAGCCGGGAAGGGTAGTTGAGGGCTGGAGGGAAGTGGGATGGTTAATAGGTACAAAAAAAGAGTTAGGAAGAATGAATAAGACCTAATATTTGACAGTAAAATAGGGTAACTATAATCAATGATAACTTGTACATTTAAAAATAACTAAAAGAATATAACTGATTGTTTGTAACACAATGGATAAATGCTTGAAGGGATGGATACCCCAAGATTATTGCATGCCTATATCAAAACACTTCATGTACCTTACAAATATATACACCTACTATGTACCCACAAAAATTAAAAATTAAAAAAAATTGTTAAATACATAAAGTAAAAAAAAAATAGGAAAGAAAGAAAAAGAAAAGAAAAGAAAAAGCAGAATGGGCTGGGCACAGTGGCACATGCCTGTAACCCCAGCACTTTGGGGTTTGAGGCAGGAGAACCACTTGAGGCCAGGAGTGCAAGACCAACCAGGGAACCTTCCAAGACACCACACCTCCACAAAAATAAAAATTAAAGAATTTGTCAGGCATGGAATCTTTCACCTGTAGTCCCAGCCATTACGGAGGCTGAAGTGGGAGGATTACTTGAGTTCAGGAATTTAAGGCTACAGTGAGTTATGCTCTTGCCATGGCATTCCAGCTTAGTCGACAGAGTGAGACCCTGTTTCTGAAAAGAGGAAAAAGAATACAGAAAGAGACAGGAAATAATACAAACTGTTATACTTATCACCAATGTTTACCAAATGTAAATTAATCTTTAATAATTCAGATTTAAAAAAAAATATTAGAACTATGTAACTAATTTATCCCTGCTTAAATATCACCATTCTTTTCTCCTCCAAGGAACGTCTATTCTGAAGTGCATTTTTTTCAACCAATATTAAGCAATGACTGTTCCAGGCAGCTGTATATGGCTGCGGATACAGCATCTAAGAAGCTAGGTAAAAATGCACTGTCATGGAGTTCACATTCTAGTTGGGGAAAAGAGACAATAAACGAAATAAGTAAATGAAATATATAGAATGATAGAGGTGAAAAATGTTGAAGAAAAACAGGTTAAAGGCATACAGAGTGCCAACAGAGTAAAGAAATTGCAATTTCACATAGAAAAGACATAATTGAGAAGATATTTGAATACAGAGTCTAAGAAGATATAGCAGTAAATCTTGCATATCTTTGGAAGGAGTGGTTGAAGCAGAAGGAACAGTAAGTGCAAAGGCCCCAAGGTGGAAACATTTGGCATATTTGAGTAATGGCAAGGAGAATCCTGTAGCAGGAATGAATGAAGTAAGCAAGCGGGAGGAGAAGAGTGGGAGATGAGGACAGCAGAGCCTTGAGATTCTTGTAAAGACTACGGCTTTTACTTTGAGTGAGATGGAAAGTTTCTAAAGGGTTTTGAGTAGAGAAGCCACATAATTTGTTTGACATTACTGTACATTCACACTGCCTGCTGTTAAGAATAGACACAGTGGCCGGGTGCAGTGGCTCACGCCCGTTATCTCAGCACTTTGGGAGGCCGAGGTGGGTGGATCACCTGAGGTCAGGAGTACGAGACCAGCCTAGCCAACATGGCAAAACCCATCACTACCAAAAATACAAAAATTAGCCAGGTGTAGTGGTAGGCACCTGTAGTCCCAGCTACTCGGGAGGCTGAGGCAGGAGAATCGCTTGAACCTGGGAGGTGGAGACTGCAGTGAGCCGAGATTCTGCCATTGCACTCCAGCCTAGGCAACAGAGCGAAACTCCATCTCAAAAAAAAAAAAAAAAAAAAAAAGAATTAGCTGGGCATGGTGGCACCGCCTGTACGAGGCTAAAGCAGGAGAATCCCTTGAACACAGGAGGCAGAGGTTGCAGCGAGCTTGAGATCGTGCCACTGCTCTCCAGCCCGGGTGACAGAGTGAGACTCTGTCCAAAAAAAAAAAAAAAAAACAAAAAAAGGAAAAAAGAATAGACTAAGGGAAGGGAAGGAGAAGGAAGATGCAAGAAGTCTAGTCTGGAGGTTGTTGAGTAGTTAATCCAGGAGAGAGATGAGATGGTTCAGACTAGGATGGTAGAAGTGGAGGTAATAAGAAAATTTTCCTTTTAGTGGTAGTCATCCTTCTCTTGTTTCTGACCTTAATATATAATATATAATGGTTATAATATATAACCATTAAGAGGCATTTTTGTTGGTATTCTGATCACATTAGGGACATTATTTTTTATTCCTAGTTTGCTGACCTGTCCCACTCCCCTTCTGTAATATTAATACTAGTGTGTTTAATTTTATTGCATGCTTTTTCCAAATGTGTTGCATTAATATGGTGAATTATCTTAATTTTCTAATGTATAACAATCATTTGATTACTGTGATGAGTCCTAATTGATCATCACATCATTTTATTCTCTGGGACCATATATATAATCTATTTCTAGAATAATCAGTAGAAATCCTTTATCAAACCATCTAGTTTTCCTTCCAGGCTGAACGCTTTTTTTCAGAGGTACAGTTTTTAAAAGTTAATTTAGAGGAAATCATGTCCTTTACAGCAACATGTATGCAGCTGTTGGCTATTATCCTATGCAAATTAATGCAAAAACAGAAAACCAAATACCACATATTCTCACTTATCAGTAGGGGGCTAAACATTGGGTATGCATGGACGTAAAGATGGGAATAACAAGACACTAGGGACTACCAGAGGGGGAAGAGCCAGAAAGGCGAATGAGGTATAAAACTACCTGTTGGGTACTGTGCTCCCTAACTGGGCGATGGGATCAATTATACCCCAAACCTCAGTATCACGCAGTATACCCATGTAACAAACCTGCACATGTACCCCATGAATCTAAAATAAAAGAAAAAGTTTTATTAACGAAGAAAAAAAAGTTATTTTACTGAGACATCCGGTCTTTGAAAATGCGATTCTTTTGTTCTCACACTCTTTACTGGATAGAACTGCTATGATAAATGGTACTTCTTTGGCACTTTGAAGATATTATCCCATTTTAGTCTGGCATTGATTGTTGTTAACATAAAGTCACTATGAGTTTCACAGTAATTCCTTTGTAGGTTGATATGTTTTTTCTCAATGGTTGCTTTAACGTCTTCCATAGGTTAACTTTGATGTTCTACAGTTCTACAACAATATCTCTAGGAGTGGACTTACTTTTAACTTCTTCATACTCTTTGTGCTTGTTAAAGATGGAAAATCCACAGCTATCATCTCTTGGAATATTATCTTGCTCCCATTTTGAAACTCATATTGGCCATATTAGATCTACAACTCATTTTTAATTTAATCACTTTTAATCTATTTTCAATCTCTACGTGTGAATTCTGAGCATCTATCATTAGTGATTCAAGATTCTTGATTCTATCTTCAGCCGTATCTACTCTTCATTTATTCACATATTTTTTAATTTCAGTGATTATAGTTTTCATTTCTTTCTTCTTGTATGCTTTTTCAATTCTGTCCGTCTTTTTTTCACAGTGATCCTTTTTTATATGCCTATTCAATGGTTTCTCTGTTTACATGTATATATGGTATATGCTTTCATATTTTGCTGTTATCTCACTTTGTTGGTAGTATAATCCTTTTAATTATTTTTCATGGTGGATTTTTTATGTGGCATATACATTTTCACTTTGCCCATCTTTAGTAGACATTCCTTTTTCGGTATTAACTTGTGTGTGTAGATGAATTGCCAGATTGGTTTTGTATCTCTTGCTGCTGGACGACCTAAAGTTTTATTAATCTAGGTCAGGTTTACATCTTAATGACTTTGTGGCTTCTCACCATGACAGTTATGTAATGTGTTCACTATACTCCCATATGAAGCAGGTGTGGCTCTTTAATTTCTCAGGATAATTTTTCCCCCTTTGCTATGTCTTGGCCAGAGACAAGCTTCATTATCACTTCTCTGAACCAGTAAGTTGTCTATTTTTTTTCTAGAGTTCCTTTCGCTGAAGAGGTATTCTTTCTATGGTCTGGCTATATTCAAGGTTCTCCACTCAGTTCTCACCTCGCATGGCCATATCATCACTCCTTCTAACAGTAATAAAAATCAAAGTTCCTAGCCCTTGGGATCAATATCTGCTCTTATATCACTATTTACCCAGTATGTCTATAGCTCTTCAGGTTTCCTCTCAATTTTTAATCCTCATGGTCTTTCTCTTTCTTCAACTTTTCTAGAAAGGCTGTGTGTGTATGTTTGTGTTGGCAGGGGGACTTTCAGGCCAATTTTTACATGAAAAATTGTAAATAAAGAGATAAGCATAATATAAAAATAATAAAGCTGTTTTACACTGAGGGTATTTATCCATATTTGCATATTTGGGTTGTTTCCATGGCTACCAGTATAAAAGGAATAGAAGGTAAGGCCCAGGAATACCCAAAGTGGCAAGTATCTGAAAGGGCCACACCTTCAGTTATTTTTTTATTTTTTTGAGACGGAGTCTCACTGTGTCACCCAGGCTGCAGTGCATTGGCACGATCTCAGCTCACTATAACCTTCGCCTCCTGGGTTCAAGCAATTCTCCTGCCTCAGCTCCCTGAGTAGCTGGGATTACAGGTGTGCACTACCACACCTGGCTAATCTTTGTATTTTTGTAGAGACGGGGTTTCACTATGTTGGTCAGGCTGGTCTTGAACTTCTGACCTCAATTGATCTGTCTGCCTCAGCCTCCCAAAGTGCTGGGATTACAGGCGTGAGCCATCGTGCTCATCCACATTCAGGTATTTTAATGATCTCCCCTACTTTGACAAATAAAAAGAGACAGGACAAATGCTAGAGAAGATATGTGTCCCTAAATCAAGTAATGTATTTTAAGTAAATGCCAATTGTATATATGATAGTATTCTGAAGAACTAAGATTCTCACCATAGGAGACAAAAGATACACATGTAAGATACGTTAAGTAAAAATTCTGCAGTTCAGAATTTGAAATATCAGTATGAACACACATAAGTTTTATTTTTAAAAAATACGAGTGTTTATGTGTATGTACTTCCTAGTTCTGCCCACTGAAACAGACAAAAAACAACAGGAAATTCAGTAGCAATGAGGACCCCTAGCACCTGGAATATGGGCTCCAAGTATCATTACCTACTGAAAATAAAGAACTCCATGGATGTTTGGCTGATTCCAGATCTGGAACAAGAGTGTACAGAATGATCTGGGAACATTTAGTCATAGCAGATACCAAGAAACTATTGAAGAGACTTAGAAAAAACTCAGAGGCCAACTTGAAAAAGTTCCCTGCTATCTAAAGAAAATACAATTTCAGTATCAATAACTGATAGTAACTGAAGTGCACTGAACAAATAAAATTATTGAGTGTATAATGACAATTTAAAAATTTTAAAAACTTGGCCATGCACAACGGTTCTTGCCTGTAATCCCAGAACTTTGGGAGGCAAAGGCAGGAAGATCACTTAAGTCCAGGAGTCAAGACCGGCCTGGGCAATGTAGCGAGACTTTGTCTCTACAAAAAATGAAAAAATATTAGCCAGACATTGTGGCGTGCACCTGCAGGCCCAACTACTCAGAAGGCTGAGATGGAAGTATTGCTTGCATCCAGGAGGTCAAGGCTGCAGTGAGCTGCACTCCAGTCTGTATGACTGTACTCCAGCCTTGGTGACAAAGCAAGACCCTGCCTCAAAAAAATAAAATAAAAAACTAAAAATCAAATTGTTAATGTTGGAGGATATTGGTAAACCAATTATTTAAGTATTGTCCACTATTTTTTTTTTTTTTTTTGATAAGAGTCTCCCTCTATCACCCAGGCTGGAGTCGCAGCTTACTGCAGCCTCGTACTCCTGGGCTCAAGCGATCCTCTTGTTTCAGCCTCTGGAATAGCTAGGACCACAGGAGCACACCGCCATGCCCGGGTATTTTTAAAAATTTTGTCGAGATGAGGACTTGTAATGTTGCCCCAGCTGGTTCTCGAACTACTAGCCTCAAGCAGTCTTCCTGCCTGGGCGTCCCTAAGTGCTGGGATTACAGGTGTGAGCCAACATACCTGGCTCACTCTTTATATATAAATTTTACCAATGGTTAATCAAACAATAGATAAGAAGATAGCTCTCTTTAGAGAAATATTCTAACTAATAAAGATAACAGGAATGTTATCTTTAGAATATCACAATTTTGAAATTATTAGTATAGTAACAGATCTAGGCATTGAGATTTGCTAACAACATAGAAAGAAACACAACTTGACATGTGCTTCCAGATGAAAGAACACAAAACCACCTATAAAGTAGTTTTGCTAATAAAAACAAATCTAAATCTCGTTAAGTCTCTAGGTCAAGTATCCATATTTGGATACTCGGAAAAAAAAGTATATATACGGAAAAAAAGAAAACAAAGGAACATATTAAATGATACTACAGAGATGCAATGAAAAAACTGGAAAACTCGAAAAGAAAACTGACTTTATTTTATTTTTAATTTATTTAAAAAATAAATTCCAGGGGAATAAAAAAGATGAAGGGGAATCTATAAATTAAAAGACAGTTAAGAGTCAATTTGATCATTTGCAATGTGTGATTCTTATTTATAGATTCAAAAGAAAGAGGTGAAATTATAATATTTATGAGGTATTGGAATTTGAAAATTAAACTGGATGCTTCACAATATTATAGATTTATTGTTACTCCTTTTGGTGTGATAATGATACTGTAGTTATGCTTTAAACAAGAGTCTATATATTTCTGAGATACACTATAAAAGCTATAGATGAAAAGAATGTTATGTCTGGATTTCCTTCAAAATAATAGGAGTAAATGAATGGGAGACATATATTTTAAAAAGATGGAACATTGCAGCAGGCTGAAAATACCATAAGGATTCATGATACCAGCTCTCTAAGCTCACTGTTAAGAAGGAATTTGTCACTGAAAACAAACAGAAACTAATTCTACAATGCTAGTGAACTAATAAAATCCATGACAAATTTTTAGAAAATAAATTTAGCCAATATTTACTATATGATCTGCAATTTCCTTTTATTGATCATATGAATTCTGAAGAATTATATCATGCAGAAAATCGTAATGATTCTGTTCTATGTTCTTTACTTTCTGAAAGATAAACATGCCTTAAGTTCCTAACAAAAAAGTTCCATAACATCGTCTAAGTTTTTAATAGCTGCTGGTTTTCCTCCTGCACAATCTGCTTTGAGTCACAAATCATCTTGATTATATTATAATCAAACATCTTCCCACTTGGATGTGATACAACTCTTTCCTTTGCAGACAAAAATAATATTAGACTTTTCCAGTCAAAACAGAAACCAAACTTTGGTGTCAATGTGAATTATGTACACTGAACTGCAGATGTTTGAAAGTACTTACGACTATAGAAGTTTTTATTCCTTTTCATTTAGAAGAGTTTTTAAAAATCACTCCATTTTAGATGTAGAAATAATAATTACAATGCTTTTTCCACATTACAATAACTTGGAATAAAGAGTTTTTTTAAACTTGAAAACGTAACTTGTTTCTTCAAACTCTGGCAAAATATCAACAATTTAATTTAGATGAATACTTATACAAGAATAAGAGGTTTACAAATACCAAAAATTAAGTGGATGAATCTCTGAAACCACATACACTACAGCTGATATGTATGTGTGTATATTTATACTTTATATATAACATAACTAATTTATTCAATAAATAATTATTGAGCATCCATTAGGCAACATATCAGCACCCACCAGGCAATATATGCCATGCAATGACATGTTTCTATATATTTATACATATATATAAATATATATTTTAACTACATATAAACAATCCTAAAATACTATATTAAAATAAATAACTAGAGATTTAATAATATAGTAATTTATATTCATATTTTAAACTATTAAATTATCCATAAAAGACTAATTTGAAGGAACATTTTAAGTCACAAAGAAAAATGAGTGAACTTAAAATTATTAAAGATACCAAGATGTATAGCTATTTATTTAGTAAGCTGTGCTATTATCATTCTTCGTAATACTATCTAAGATTATTATGTTAACTGTATTCATAAAAAGCTATTCATTTAAAAAATTGTGAATTGCGGCCAGGCACGGTGGCTCACGCCTGTAATCCCTGCACTTTGGGAGGCTGAGGAGGGTGGATCACCAGGTCAGGAGTTCGAGACCAGCCTGACCAACATGGTGAAACCCTGTCTCTACTAAAAATACAAAACTTAGCCAGGCGTGGTGGTGCATCCCTGTAATCCCAGCTACTTGGGAGGCTGAGGCAGGAGAACCTCTTGAACCCAGGAGGTGGAGATTGCAGTGAGCCGAGATCGCACCACTGCACTCCAGCCCGGGTGACAGAGCGAGATTCCAAAAAAAAAAAATTGTGATTTGCATGTATTTCAGAATAATTCTTAGCATGCTTTTTTTTTTAGACAGAGTCTCACTCTGTCACCCAGGCTGGAGGGCGATGGCACAATCTCAGCTCACTGCAACCTCCGCCTCCCTCCCAGGCTCAAGCGATTCTCCTGTCTCAGCCTCCCAAATAGCTGGGGGGCACACACCACCGTGCTCAGCTAATTTTTGTATTTTTACTAGAGATGGGGTTTCACCATGTTGCCCAGGCTGGTCTTGAACTTCTGACCTCAGATGATTCACCCGCCTTGGCCTCCCAAAGTGCTGGGATTACAGGCATGAGCCACTCCACCCAGCCAACATGCATATTATTTATGATAGTCAATCAACTCTTGGTGAGAAATAAGTGTGCACCAGGCCCTGTTCCAAATATATGTATTAAATTATTTAATCTTGATGTGTGCCTTATGAGTTAGATATTATTATACCATTTTGAAGAGAAAAAAATCAAAAGGAAAGAATAATAAATAACTCCTCTAAAGTCAAGTAGCTAATAAGCAGGATTCAAATTCAAGCAGTATAAATCAGTTGTCAACAAATTTTTACTGTATGTATACATGTACAATAGCAAAAGGAACTCAAACAGCTAGAACTACAGAAAAAGTTAATGATATTTTAAAATTAGAACTTTGGGCTAGAGATGTTGGCTCACGCCTATAGTCCCAGCATTTTGGGAGGTTGAGGCAGGAGGGATCACGTGAGGCCAGGTATCCAAAACCAGCTTGGGCAACACAGTGAGACCCCATCTAAACTTATAAAAAAAATTTAAAAAATAATATTAGAACTTTGAACAAACAGAGATACAGATATTTTTTAAGTAATACTTAGGTCTGACACAAGGAAATACTTAACAAAGATAAAAAAGGAACTAGCTGATATACAGAATTATTACCTTTTAACCCAGTTCCTTCATTCCTAACAATGTCTATGGTAAACTAATGAAAACAGCCTAAGCAAATATTTCTCACCTTTTAATTTCACATTCTAAGGCTAGCATACTTGCTAAAATCAGAACGCTCTTTTTAGAAATATAAAACAAAAAAATAGCTATAGGCATACTGTAGCTTCATTTTATTACATTTTACAGATATGTTTTCTACATATTGAAGGTTTGTGGCAACCCCGTGTCAAGCAAATCCATTGATGCCATTTTTCCAATAGCATGTGCTCATTGGGTGTGTCTGTGTCACATTTTGGTTAATACTCACGATACAGGAATACATTGCTTAACAATGGAGATACATTATGAGAAATGCATAATTAGGCTATTTTGTTGTTGTGCAAACATGGCATGTACTTATACAAACCTAGATGGTATAGCCTACTGCACATCTAGGCTATATGGTATAGCTACCTGGACAGCATGTTAGTGTACTGAATACTGTAGGCAAGTGTAACACGATGTTAAGTATTTGTGCATCTAAACATAGAAAAGGTATGAAAATATGGTATAACAGATAAAAAATGGTATACCTGTACAGGGCACTTACCATGAATGGAGCTTATAGCACTGGAAGTTACTCTGGGTGAGTGAGTAAGTGAATGTGAAGGCCTAGGACATTTTTGTACACTACTATAGATTTTATAAAAATTGTACACTTAGGCTACACTAAATTTATAAAAAATATGTTTCTGCTTCAATAAAAAATTAATCTTAGTTTACTGTAACTTTTTTTTTTTTTTTGAGACAGGGTCTCTGTCACCAAGGCTGAGTGTGGTGGCATGATCATAGCTCACTGCAGCCTCAATCTCCTTGGCTCAAGCTCCTCCCGAGGCAGGAGCTGGAACTACAGGCACGCACCACCACATCCAACTAATTTCTGCATTTTTTGTAGAGAAGGGGTCTCACTATGTTGCCCAGGCTGGTCTTGAACTCCTGGATGCAAGGGATCGTCCGACTTGGCCTCCCAAAGTGCTAGGATTACAGGAGTAAGCCACTGTGCCTGGCCTACTGTAACTTTTTTACTTCATAAACTTTTAATTTGTTTTAACTATTTGACTATTGTAATAAGCAGCTTAAAACATAAACACATTGTACAAATGTACAAAAATCTTTTCTTTCTTTGTATCTTCTTTCTATAAGCTTTTTCTAGTCTTCAAATTTTTATTTTTGCTATTTAAGCTTTTTTTTAAACAAAGACAAAAACACACACATTAACCTAGGGTCAGGACCAACTACATCACAGCAGCAATACAGTAAAGCAAGGGAGGCCAAATTAAGGAAAGACAAAGTAGTAAGACACCAAGATTTCACACAGGAAAAAGAAAGCACACAAACCAGAGGAAAGAAGATGCAGGAGTAAAGAAAAAATGTATTAAACAGGGAACTTCTGAAATTTTAACCATACCTTATAAGCCAAATTATTATTTTATAGGGGTTTTATTTCAGGTAAGATTACATAGAGTAAAATGCACACATTTTAAGTGTAGAATTGATTGGCTTTTGACAAATTTATAAATCTCTGTTACTACCACCCTAATTAAGATGTAGACTATTTCTACCAGAAAATATCTTGGTACCCCCTCTTAAGCCAGTCTGCACCAATCTCCACAGGCTACTACTATTCTGATTTGTAATAGCATGGGTTATTTCATCTCTTCTTGAACTTCATAAAAAACAATGAAACTTTTAGGTCTGGAATCCTTTGTCTGACTTCAATTCAACATATGTATTACAGATTCATCTATGTTTGTGTGTGTGAGAGACTGTGAGAGCAGTTCATGCTTTTTATGCTAAATAGTATTCCATTTTCATGCTAAATAGTATTCCATTTTATGCATATACCACAATTTGTATATCCATTTTCCTTTTGATAAAATGACTTTCACATCATTTTCAATAGTTGAATATTATAAATCAGCTCCTACAAACATCCTTTAAATGTCTTACAGCATATCTATATTTTCATTTTTCCAAGGTAAAGACCTAGAAATGGAATTGCTAAGTCACAGGGTAGACCTACGTTCAACTGCCTAAGAAAGTACAAAGCAGTTTTCAAAACTGGTTGTACTATTTCACACTCCCATTAGCAATGGATGAGTTTCAGTTGCTCCATATCCTTACCAATGTTTGCTGTTGTCTGTCTTTTTAATTTCAGACACCATAGTGCATGTGATGTAGTAGCATATTTAAATTTATGTTTTCCTGATCACAATTGATAATGAATCTTTTCAGGTTGTCATTGGATGATTTTGAAGTTCTGTTCCAGTCTTTTGCTCATTTTCTTTGTTTGCGTATCTTTTTATTATCAATTTATACATGATTAAATATGCATTTAGTACAAGTCCACTGTTTTATAAATGAATTACAAATATTTACTCCCAGGTTATACCTTGCCAATTTATTTTCTTAATGTTGGCTTTTGATGAGCTTTCACTTTTAATTTTGTTCAAGTAAAATTGATCAATATTTTCTTTATAGTTACAGCTACTTGTGTCTTCTTTCAAATCCTCCCTACCTCAAGGCAATAAAGGCATTTTCCTATGGTTTCTTTGACAGCTTTAAAGTGTTAGCTGTCTTGTTGAGGTCTATAAGCCATTTTGACTCATTTTTTAGCATGGTGTGAGGGAAGGGTCAAGGCTCTTTTTCTGATACCCAGCTATTCCAGCACTGCTTGCTGAAAATATTTTTCTTTTTCAAATAGGCTGATTTGGTACCTTGATAAAAATGGCTGGGCATGGTGGCTCACATCTGTAATTCCAGCACTTTTGGAGGCTGAGGCAGGCAAATCACTTGAGGCCAGGACTTCTAGACCAGCCTGGGAAACACGGCAAAAGCCTGTCTCAACTAAAAATACAAAAATTAGCTGGGCATGGTGGCGCACACCTATGGTCCCAGTTATTCAGGAGGCTGAGGCAGGAAAATCACTTGAATCTGGGAGGCAGAGGTTGCAGTGAGCCGAGATCACACCACTGCATTCTAGCCTGGATGACAGTGCGAGATTCTGTCTCAAAAAAAAAAAAGGGGGGGCCAGGCGCGGTGGTTCACGCCTGTAATCCCAGCACTTTGGGAGGCCAAGGCGAGCGGATCATGAGGTCAGGAGATCGAGACCATCCTGGCTAACATGGTGAAACCTGGTCTGTACTAAAAAAAAATACAGAAAACTAGCCGGGCATGGTGGCAGGTGCCTGTAGTCCCAGCTACTCAGGAGGCTGAGGCAGGAGAATGGCGTGGACCCAGGAGGTGGAGCTTGCAGTGAGCCAAGATCACGCCACTGCACTCCAGCCTGGGCGACAGAGCGAGACTCCGTCTCAAAAAAAAAAAAAAAATTAAATTAAATAAAAATAAAGCCACTGTCATATGCAAAAGACTGAAGTTGGATGCCTTTTGTAAACCATACAACAAATGAACTTAAAGTAGGTCATACAACTAAATGTAAAGGATAAACTATAAAAATATTAGGAAAAAACAGGAGTAAATTTTAGTGACCATGAGTTAGACAAAGCCTTCTTATCTTTTGAGTGACTGAAGAAAAAATAAATTGGATTTTATCAAAATAAAAAACTTCTGTGCTGCATATGATATCATTAAGAAAGTGAAAAGACAAATTACAGAATGGGAGAAAATTTTGCAAATTATATATCTGATTAAAACAACTTGTATCAAGAATATATAAAGAACTCTTACAACTCAATAAGCAAAAGAAAAATAACACAATTTTAAAATGAGGAAAGAATCACAATAGACATTTCTCTAAAGAACACATACAAGGCCAGGCACAGTGGCTCACGCCTGTAATCCCAGCACTTTGGGAGGTTGAGGCAGGCAGATCACGAGGTCAGGAATTCGAGACCAGCCTGGTCAACATAATGAAACCCCATCTCTACTAAAAATACAAAAAATTAGCCAGGCGTGGTGGTGGGCACCTGTAATCCTAGCAACTCGGGAGGCTGAGGCAGGAGAACCACTAGAACCTGGGAGGCGGAGGTTGCAGTGAGCCAAGATTGCACCACTGCACACCAGCCCTGGTGACATTGCGAGACTCTGTCTCAAAAAAAAAAAAAAAAAAAAAAAAAAAAAATATATATATATATATATATATATATATATGTTTACAAATGAACAATAAGCAAAGGAAAAGGCATTCAACATCATTAGCCATTAGGGAAATGCACATCAAGATCACAGTGAGGAGAGTGATTATCAGTAAGATAGCTGACAAAGAAGCTCCAAGCCCTAGATCCCCAACAGGAACACCAACTAACAACACAATATGGAACAATGTTTTGTGGGAATTCTAGAAACCATTTAAGAAGCCACAGCAACCAAGTGATACTACAACCAAGGGGGAAAAAAAAGACCCATTAGTACTCTTTTTACCCAGTACATCATGTCTAGCTGTTAAGATAAAATTACAGAGGCAGAAGCAGGCAGATAACTTGAGGTCAGGAGTTTAATACCAGCCTGGCCAACAATGGTGAAACCCCATCTCTACTAAAAATACAAAAAATTGGGTGGGTGTGGTGGTGCGTGACTGTAGTCCCAGCTACTCGGGAGGCTGAGGCAGGAGAATCGATTGAACCTGGGAGGTGGAGGTTGCAGTGAGCTAAGATCATGCCACTGAACTCTAGCCTGGGCGACAGAGTGAAACTCTGTCTCAAAATAAAAAAATAAAAAAATTTTTAAAAAGATAAAATTGCAAGGCATATGAAAAGGAAAAAACAAAAAACACAACTGAAGATACAGAGCAAGTATCAGAGCCAGACTCAGAAATGGCAGGGATACTGGAATTATCAGACCAGAAATTTAAAACGATTGTGATTAATATGCTAAGGGCTCTAACAGATAAAGTAGACATCAGGGAAGACAGATGGGCAATATAACCAGGGAGACGGGAATTTTAAGAAAGAACGAAAAAGAAATTCCAAAGATCAAAAACACTATAACAGAAATAAAGAATGCCTTTGTTGGGCTTATGAGTGGAATAGACATAGCTGGAAAAGCAACTTAGAAGAGACAAAGAGGGCATTATATAATAATAATAATATAATAATAATTATATAATAATAAAAGAGAATGATAACATGAAAGTTTCACACTTCCAAATTTCAAAATTACGAAGCTATAGTAATTAAAACAGTGTGATATTGGCATAAAGACAGACATGTAGACCAGTAAAACAGAATAGTGGGGTCTAAAAGTAAACCTGTGCATATATAGACAAGTCATTTTTGATAAAGGTACCAAAACCGTTTAATGAGGAAAGGATAGTCTTTTCAACAAGTAGTTCAAAGACAACTGAATATCCACATGCAAAAAAAAAAAAAAAAAACCATGAATTTGGACCCTTACCTTATACCATATACAAATATTAGCTCAAAATGGATCAAAGACCTAAACATAAGACCTAATAACTCTGAAACTCTTAGAAGAAAATACAGGGAAAAAATTTCATGACATTGGATTTGTCAATCATTTCTTGAATATGATACTAAAAGCGCAAGCAGCTAAAGATAAAATTGGACTATATCAAAATTAAAAAACTTGTGCATAAAAGGACACAACCAAGAGAGTGAGAAGACAATTCATGGAATGGGAGAAAATATTTGTAAATCATATATCAAATAAGGAGTTTAATCCAGAATATACAAACAATAACAAATCCAGCTTAAAACTGGGCAAAAAAACTTGAATAGAAGATATTTCTCCAATGAAAATATATAAATTGCAGCATTATTCACAATGGCCAAAGTTAGAAGCAACCTAAATGGCCATCAGCAGATGAATTGACAAACAAAATGTGGTATATACAAATAATAGAATATTACTCAGTCTAAAAAAGAAAGGAAATTCTGATATACACTTCAACATAAATCAACATTGATGACATTGTGCATTATGAAATAAGCCAGTCACAAAAGG
Source organism: Homo sapiens (assembly GCF_000001405.40). NCBI lineage: Eukaryota > Metazoa > Chordata > Mammalia > Primates > Hominidae > Homo > Homo sapiens. The sequence continues at coordinate 37,335,515 of NC_000014.9, read as the reverse complement.
ACAAACACTGTATGATTCCACCTATATAAGGTACCTAGAATACTCAACTTCATAGACAAAGAAAGTGAAATGTCAGGGGTGAAGTTGTCAGGGGCCAGGGGAGAGTAGAATGAGGAGTTATTGTTTAATTTAAGTCTTGCAATATGAAACAGTTCTGGATATGGATGGATGGTGATGCGAACACTACTGAACTGTATAGGTAAAAATAGTGAAGACAGTAAATTTTATGTTATGTATATTTATGTTATGTATATTTACCACAATTTTTAAAAAGACAAAAAACTAAAAACCACAAGATACTACCTCACATCCACCGGGATGGTTATAATAAAAAGAATGATAGTAACAGGTGTTAGCGAGAATGTAGATAAATTGGACCCTTCATAAATTGTTGGTGGAAATGTAAAATGGTAAAGGTACTTTGGAAAACAGTTTGGTAGTTCAACAAAATGTTAGTTACCACATGATCTAGCAATTCCACTTCAAAGTATATACTAAAGAGAAATGAAAAATATGCTCCCACAAAAACCTATACATTAATGTTCACAGCAGCCTAATAGTCGCAAAGTGGAAACAATGCAAATGTTCATCAGCTGATAAATGAATAAACAAAATATGGCATATATCCATACAATAATTTGACAATTTAAAAATGATCAATTTTGCAATAAAAGTACTAATACATACTGCCAGATGGATAAATGTTGAAAAAATTATATAAAATGAAAAATGCCTGTCACAAAAGACCACATACTCTTATGAATACATTTATGTAAAATCCAGAATAGACAAATATATAGACAGATAGATTATTGGTTGCTTAGGGCTGGTGGAAATAAATTTGGGGGAAATAAATGGAGAGTGTCTATTAATGGGTACAGGGGTTCTTTTGGGGTTGATAAAAATGTTCTAAAATTGTAGTAGTGACTACACAAATCTGAATATACCGAAAAATATTATATTGTATACTTTAAGGGTATGAATGGTATATGAATCTCAATAAAGCTGTTAAAAATGTAAAAAACAATTAAGTAATTATATATGAATGAATCTATTTCTACTGTCGATACAGTTCCATTGATTTGCGTATGGATAAGCTACAGTCTTGACTGTCCCTTATAGTTTTAGGGTCTTAAAATCAGATAGCATAACTCTTCCATTTCATTCTTTTTTAAGATTGTCTGAACAGTCGAGGTCTCATATCTCCATAAAATTAAAAATATTCAATTATCAATATTTTTATTTCAAATGTATCTTAACCCAGATGAATAAATTCTTTGAAAATGCAATTTATCAAAACTTGCACAAGAAACGGAAAAGCTAAATAGTTTTAGTAAATTTATTTACACTGGGTTACTAAATGTATTAGCATGAAGCTGTGTATATTATTCAGTTATTATATTTTTTCTAAATTTCCCTTTCTACTTTACATTGATCCTTGAATTATTTAAAAGGTGTTGCTTAATTTCCTATTCTAAATATCTTTTCTAGTTAATTTCTCATTCAGCTCCCTTGTAGACAGACATATATGCCTATAAATTCAATCTTCAAATTTATTGTGACCTATTTTAAAGTCCAGCATATAGTCTTATCTTTTTTATTGTTCCATGTGAACTTGAGACGACTGTATTTCTATAGTTGTCAACAGGTGATTGCAAAGTCAAGCCTTCTCTAACGGTAATGAATTTTGTTCAAATCGTCTGTCAATTACAGAAAGAACAGCAGTGATACCTCCAATAATGATTGCCAAATAGTGTATTTCTTCCCTTAGTTCTCTCAGTTTTTGCTTCTTGTACTTTGATGATCTGCTATTATTTATATATTCACTTAGAATTGTTATGTATTTCTGGTGATATGTCCCTCTTTATCTCTGGTAATACTCCTTGCCTTTAAGCCTACTTCATCTGATATTAATATAGCCATAGCAACTTTCTTATATTTATAGCTCACATATTATATATTTCCACGTTTCACTTTCAGCTTATCTGTGTCTTGTCTCAAGTATGCTTCTTACAGACAATATATATAATTGAGTCCTGACTTTTCACTACCTTTAATATGTCACAGTATCTGTCTTTAATTGGAGTACAGTTGGTCCTTGAACAACACAAATTTGAACTGTGTAGGCCCGGTATATCAGAAAAATTATTGGAGATCTGTGACAATTTGAAAAATCTCACAGATGAACTGTGTAATGTATAAATATCAAAAAAGTTAAGAAAAAGGTATACCATGAACACATTAAAAATGTGCATAGCAGTATTTTATTAATATAATTTACTACCATAAAATGTATACAAATTTCTTGGAAAAAGTTAAAATTTATCAAACTATACACACACACACAGATTACACACGGAACCATTTGCCATCAAGAGAATGTAAACAAAGGTAAAGATTTATTAATGCCAAAAACCACAACTACTTTTGCACTGACCTAATAGTATTAGATCATAACTGCATAAAATTATCTGTAGCAATACTGTACTACTATAATAATTTCATAACCACCTGCTATTGCTATTGCAGTGAGCTAAAGTATTGCAAGTATCTCCTTAAAACACTGTGGGATGCTACTCATCTCCACAACAGCAGTTCATGTCTCCAGTAAATTGTGTATCATAGCAAAATGATCTCTTGCAGTTCTCACGTATTTTTCGTCCACTGCAATACTGTAACTCTTCAGTAACACCATGGGACCATACAAAGTTCCACTAGTGATGTTGGAAGTACTCCAAAGAAGCAGAGTAAAGTCATGACATTACCAAAAAAAAGTTGAATTGCCTGATATGTACCACAGATTGACAACTAAAATTGCCTGCCATTTCGGATAATTCATCCTATAATCAGATGATGTAAATTTATGGCACTGATAAATACAGTTCAGTATTGTAAATGTATTTTCTCTTCCTTACAATTTTCTTCATAACATTTTCTTTTCTCTAGCTTACTTTAAGAATATAGTATATAATACATATAACATATAAAAGATGTGTTAGTCAACTGTGTGTTGTTAAAGGTAAGACTTCCAGTTAACAGTAGGCTATTAGTAGTTAGGTTTTGGGGAGTCAAAAGTTATATGCAGTTTGATTCAACATGATCAAGTGAGATTAATCTCAGGGATGCAAGGATGGTTCCACATATGCAAATCAGCAAATGTGATACATTGCATCAACAGACTGAAGGACAAAACTGATATAATCATTTCAATATATTTCAAAAAAAGCATTTGATAAAATTCAACATCCCTTCATGATAAAAACTATCAACAAACTAGGTATGGAAGGAACACATCTCAACATGACAAAGGCCATAAATGACAAACCTACAGCTAGAATCATATAGAATAGGAAAAAACTGAAAGTGCCTTTTTTTTTTTGAGAGGAGTCTCGCTCTGTCATCCAGGTTGGGGTGCAATGGCACGATCTCGGCTCACTACAACCTCCGCCTCCCAGTTTCAAGTGATTCTCCTGCCTCAGCCTCCCGAGCAGCTGGGATTACAGGCACCTGCCACCATGCATGGCTAATTTTTGTATTTTTAGTAGAGACATCCTGGCCAGGCTGGTCTTGAACTCCTGACCTCGTGATCCACCTGCCTTGGCCTCTCAAAGTGCTGGGATTACAGGCGTGAAGCACCGTGCCTGGCCTGAAAGTGCTTTCTGTAAGATCTCGAACAAGACAAGGACACTCACTTTCACCACTTTTATTCAACATATTACTGAAAGTCCTAGACAGAGCAATTTGACAAGAGAAAGATATAAAGCATACTCGAACTGGAAAGAAAGAATTGAAATTATCCTTTTTTGCAGATGACATGATCTTATATTTAGGAAAACCTAAAAACTACACAAAAAAACTATTAGAACTGATAAATGAATTCAGTAAAGTTGTAGAATATAAAATCAACATAAACAATTAGTAGCATTTCTATATGCCAACAGTGAACAACCTGAAAAAAAAAACAAGAATGTAATCCCATTTACAATAGTGAAAAATAAAATAAAATATCTAGCAATAAACTTAATCAAAGAAGTAAAAAGTCTCTACAATGAACACTATAAAACACTGATGAAAGAAACTGAAGAGGACATACACACACACACACTAAAAACTGGAAAGAATCCATGTTCATGGATTGAATGAATCAATATTGTTAAAATATCCATACTACTCAAAGCAACCTACAGATTCAATGCAATCCCCATCAAAACACCAATGACATTCTTCACAGAAACATAAAAAATAAACCTAAAATTGATATGGAGTCACAAGATTCCAAGAGTAGTCAAAGCAGATTCCAAGAGTAGTCAAAGCAATCTTGAAAAAAAAAGAATAAAGCTTCAGGCATTATATGACCTGACTTCAAATTATGCTACAAAGCTATGGCAATCAAAACAGCATGGTAACTGGCATAAAACAGATACATATGGAACCACAGGATAGACTAAAAAACAAAACAAAACCAAACACATAGACCAATGGAACAAAATTGAAAACCCAGAAATAAATCCACACATTTACAACCCACTCATTTTTGACATAAGGAACTAAAAAAGGTAAATATTCAATATATGCCAGATGTCTGCTCCATTTTAGCCCTTTAGATACAACAAATACTGTCCTGAACACAAAAGTCACAAAAACTAATTTATCACTTGTCTGTTTAACCCATCCCTCTCTGATCTCTCCTCCTGGCATCCTAATTTTCTGGCTGTGTACTCTGTGTATTTTAGTGGTAAAAGAAGGACAGGGTAGAATGATAAGTCTGAGGAAGTAATCTAAACAGGTTGCAAAAAAAAAAAAAATGAAGAGGACACAAAAACAAAAGCTACACAGTCTCTTAACTTTAGAAGTATCTGATGTTCTGATAACAGCCCTTTTATTACACCCACGGCTTCTCAAGATCTCAACCTGCTGGGATAGCCATTGGGTTTAACAAGAGGAAATGGTAATCCAAACATAAAGGCTATTATATCTCATATTTAATGTGTGAACTGTTAATTATATTGAGGACTGTTAATTATATGGAATCATAACTATACTTAATACATTAAAGTTAAATTAGAATTATGTTTGTATAAAATTTAAGAACACTATGTTGGTATTTTCCTAGCTTCCAGGTGTTTAGAATATTTAACTAAAACCTCTTTGGAGACTAAATGGATTTGAGATTACAATTATAGTAGCTGAATTAAAAGTTACAATTCACTAACAACACTTCCTCTTCAAAGTCAATAATAAATGTAAAAATTCAAGAACCGTTCTGAATTTTGTTTTGATAAGAATTATACCAGAAAAGTATTGCATTTCTATAGTTTAATATGAATAATCAGAATGTAATTAAAATGTAGAACAATATTTTATTACTAAAATGACTAAAATAAAGATAATTATAAAATTACCACATAAAAGGTCTGATTTGGCTTATTCCTTTTTTATAATCTCTTCAGTGCTGCAAAAGCATTTATTTCTAAGATGATGACTACTTCTCTGGCTAATACAACTACTAGGATGTGGTGTTTTGATCCTTTTTGTACAGTTATAACCTTGTAATGTTGAACTCTGTAGTTAGCTAATGATCAGGAAAATAAAATTCAGTAAATAATACCATTGTAATGAGTTGGTTCTTAAGTAAACTTCAATGGATTTTCTCAAAATCCATAAACAAACAACAGTATAACCTAAATGTTAAGTTGGCAGTTATTGCATAAAAGGACAGAGATGTTTCTTATACTATTTTAAAACACAAAGCAGAGTTCAGGAAAGAGTATTAGTGTTTACTGGATGATAGCCACAGTTTAATAGTTTATTAAGCTCTTTTTCAGTTATTATACTCCTGGAATCACAGGTGCTTCCTCTTGGTTTGCAAACTTTATTTGCCATTATAAATGTTGTAATCTCAACAGAGCTGTCAATTACTTAAGTGCTCATTCTTAATTTTCTTGTATAATATGTGCTGCCCAAACATTGTTAAATCCTAACAGAAGCAACTCTAACTTCTAAGATTACAACAAGGCTAAAACTAAAAGTTCGTATGACAAATCAAAGTATCAACAAGTTGAATATTATATAAAAAGTCATTCTCATTGAGACTTCAGACTCAAATTATTTCTGAACATGTAAGTATGATAACTAGTGTTATCTACAGGAAGCAAGTAAATATTTGTGTACTGATTAACCAACTACTGTAGCAAAAGCTTTAGAGACCTCAGACAGTTCTCAGGACACTTTCTAGTTTTTAATGAAGTCAATCATTTACCCGCATTCTTTTTTTTTTAATGTTCTTAAAGTTGTTTTATGGATGTGTATATGTAAGTCCAGGAACATCATTCAAACTATTGAGTGGTGATTAACTTAAGAGCAATCTTAGTGAAAACAGTCTATCATTCAACTCCCTAAAGTCAACTAGTATTTTAAAACTATAATTTTGTACCCTAAAACTTAAAGTATAATAAAAAAAAACAAAGTATAATTTTCCTATGACTTAGCTCTTTCCCTTACCTGCCCGCTCTCTTTGTACTTTCATCATCTCTGGCCTTTGGAAGTAATTTTTCATTGCCAAGATCATTCTATATATTCTTAAGCCTAATCCCTTTATTTCCTCAGCTCAGTACAAAACTGCCCCACTTCCAGTGACACTTCTCTCTGAACCCTCTGTAACTGAGCATGCTCCTTCTCTCACACACTGTTACTTCAGATGCAGGAGAAAAGGACTTGGATTTTCCTGGTTCCCAACTGCTATTTCCAGTCCACTAATACTTCATTAAATAATGCTGTCATTTTTGAAGTTTCTGCTATCTCATTTAGAGCAGTGCTCCTCAAAGTGTGATCCAGGGACAAGCACTACTCCAAAACTGTCTGTTACTGACATGAAGCTAGTACTAGAATTCAGAGTTAGCAATTAAACATTTTATGGTAATCTGACAAGAAATTTTATGGCTGTTAAAGCCAATAATTTAAAAACTATATGTTTGAATTTTGCATATTTTTTTAAATTTCATTTTTTGGCAATTCATTTTTATTATATGTTACAAAAGTAGTAACATATAATAAAACTTTTAAGAAGCTTTGAAAAAAACTTAAAAAATGGTCCCTCACCACAGCTAGTTTGACTGATTTGGATGATTAGCTTCTCATCTGTGACACTGTGAACTACTGACCACCAAGGTTACTTTCCCGTATTTTAATGGAAAATTTTCTGGGCCGGGTGTGGTGGCTTATGCCTGTAATCCCAGCACTTTGAGAGGCTGAGGCGGATGGATTGCCCGAGGTCAGGAGTTCAAGACCAGCCTGGCCAACATGGTGAAACCCCATCTCTACTAAAAATACAAAAAAATTAGCTGGGCATGGTGGTGGGCACCTGTAATCCCAGCTACTCGGGAGGCTGGGGCAGAAGAATTGATTGAACTTGGGGGGTGGAGGTTGCAGTGAGCAGAGATTGCATCATTGCACTCCAGCCTGGGCAACAAGAGCGAAACTCTGTCTCAAAAAAAAAGAAAACAGAAAATTTTCTGCAAAAATTTTAGACAAAAGCAATGGTCACCCAAACAACACTCTAACCTCACATTTAACCCATTTTCCTTTTCTAATGAAATTTACCTTCAAACAATGTCCACGAGTACTGTATCTTGCTCTTAGGTCTCTTTAATCCTTAATTCAAAATTCTTGCTCTTAAATCACAACTTGCTATTCTTCTGCCTTCTTATTAAAAATACTCTTTAAGAAGAGCAAAATAATAGTTTCTTTTAAAAAGGATTATTTTTTGTCTGTGCTAGACCATCTGGTTCACTATTTTGGTAACACTGTCCCAAGCACCTTCAAATTCCTTACACTAGAGACCCTGTCAACTTCAACCCAGGATAAACCCATTATAATGGAAGACAAACATATACTTTCTCCACTTTCACTGTCAGCTAAAGACTGCTTGAATTGGCCAGGCACGATGGCTCACGCCTGTAATCCTGGCACTTTGGAAGGCTGAGGTGGGAGGGTCACTTAAGCCCAATTCGAGACCAGCTTGGGCAACATAAGGAGACTCTGTCTCTACAAAAAAATCAAAAAGTAGCCGGGTGTGGTGGCATGCACCTGTAGTCCTAGCTACTTGGGAAGCTGAGGCAAGAGGATCCCTTGAGCCTAGGAGATTGAGGCTGCAGTGGGCCATGATTGTGCCACAGCACTCAAGCCTGGGCAACAGAGCGAGAACCTGTCTCAAAAAAAAAAAAGACTTTGAATTTTATTATTTCCAACCTCATGTGGGATACTGCATGCTAATCCATTTCATTTTCTTACCTGGATTTCTTCCACACACTGCATAGTTTTACTGACCTCAAGACCCTAAATCCAACCTTCTATCTCCTAGGCTCAACAAATAAAGTACATCCAATAAGAAATAAGGGATTAAGCATAAACTTCTCTGACTTCATCTCTCTTCACTTCTAAATACAGCTATATATTTATTGGTTATTACTCTTGTCTGAGTTCATTTCTCCCTGCCTCCTCTAAGTCTTTGCCAAATCAAGAATTGTCTCTAGCTACACTCATAGTTTTTTTTTCATTTTCTGCTCTTCCTTAGAATTAGTCCTTTATATTAATTACCAAGATTATCTTAAAGATAATTTACATTTCAAGATAAAGCATTCACATGTGAACACTGAGTATTTGTGTTTCACGTGAGTGCTCACCAAAAGGTGACCATAGCAGAGGAGGGCTTTAATAATCAAGTGGACAGGATGATCCATTTTGTGGATACCAGTCAGCCTGTTTCCCCAGACATTCCTATCACTCCTCAATGAGCTCATGAACACAGTAAACATGATAGCAGGCATGGAAGTTCTGCAAGGGCTCGGCAACATGGATTTCCACTCACCAATGTTGACCTGGCTACAGCCACTGCTGAGTCTGCAGTCTGCCAGCAGTACAGACCAGCACTGAGCTCCCAACATGGCACCATTCCCTGAGCAATCTACCAGGGGAATAATGGAAGGGTGACTACACTGGACCATTTCCATTACAGAAAGGATTGTGCTCTCTTCTTATTAGAATAGACACTTCCTCTGGATATGGATCTGCCTTCCCTACACACAATGCTTCTGCCAAAAAAAAACTGTCTGTGAACTTACAGAATGCCTTTATCTACCACCATGGTATCCCACAGAGCATTGCTTCTGATTCAAGAACTCACTTCACAGGGAAGCACACATGAGCAGTGAGCCTGTGCTCAAGGAATTCATTAGTCTTACCATGTCCCCCATCATCCTGAAGCAGCTAGCTTGACAGAATAGCAAAATGGTCTTTTGAAGACTTGGTTACAGTGCCAGCTAAGTGGCAGTCCCTTGAGGGGCTGGGTAAGATTCTCCAAAGTAACATATGTACTCTGTATCAGAGTCTATTATACAATGTTTTTTTATCCATAGCCAGGATTCATGGGCCCAAGAATTAAGGGATAAAAATAGGAATGACTCCATTCACTTTTACCCCTCGTGATCCACTAGCAAAATATTTGCTTCCTATCTCTGCAAATTAAGATGCTGTTAATTCAAGCATCTTAGTTCCAAATGGAGAAAAGCTTTCGCGGGAGGACATAACATGGATACCACTTGTCTGGAAGTTGAAATTACCACCTGGAATTCCTCATGCCTTTGAATCAACAGGTGAGGAAGGAGGCTGCTATACTGCCTGGGATCACAGATCCTCACTACCAAGAGGAAACTGGGTTGCCACTATCCAATGGGGGTAAGGAGGAATATATGTTGAATACAGAAGATCCCCTAGGGTGTCCCTTATATTCATGTCATATATCTATTCCTATCTAGTGAAAATATCCTTCAAAAATGAGAGTAAAATGAAGACATTCATATAAATGAGAACTGAATTCAACAACAGGAGATATATACAATATTAGAAAAAACAGAGAGAATAAGAAGGAGAAAAAGAGAAGGAAGAAGAGAAAGAAAGGAAGAGGAGGTAGAGGAGGAGAAAAAGGAAAAAAGAAAGGAAGGAAAGAAAGAAAAGGAGAGAAAGGGAGGGAGGAAGAAGGAAAGAAAAGAAATAAAATATTAAAAGGTAGTTATTTAAGTTAAGAAAAATAACAAAATTGAAATTCCTACATAAAGAAATAAAGTGAATTTAAAATAAATTTGTAGATAAAAAAGAGTATATTTTTGCTTCTCCTAATTTCTTTGAAGGAAATTGTTTTATTTGAAGTAAAATGAATATAAAATATATGTCAACATATCAAAAAGACGAGGGTAAACGGAATTTTGCTGTTTAAAGATTATTACAATTTAAACCATGTAGCGCATTATTAATTTGGAGCAGATTGTGATAAGTGAAATAAATGGAGATATATATCATGGATTGAAAAACTAAAAATTATTAAGGTGTCAGTCTCCCTCTGTTCCAATGATCTATAGATTCAACACAATGCCAATCATAAGCCTATCAGGTGTTTTGTAGAAATTAAAAATCTGACTCTTAACGATTACAGGAAAATGCAAAAAACCTAGAATAACCAAAACAACCTTACAAAAGAACAAGTTGGAGGACTTTCAATGGTTGTCTTAGAAATTTACAGTAATTAATGCAGTGTGACATTAGCATAAAGATAGATAAATAGATCATTAGAAGAGAATAGCACATCCATAAACAGACACACACTTACATGGTCGATTAATTTGTTTCAATGGCATGAAAGCCACTTAATGGGGGAAAATCATCTCTCAACAAATAATGCTGAAACAACTGGATATTCACCTGTTTAAAAAAATGAACTTCAATCTTTATCTTACCATACATGATAAGTAACTCAAAATAAATCACAGACTAAAAGTGAAAACTAAAACATTAAAGCCTGTAGAGGAAAACAAGCTGTCAGCTTTGCAAACTTGAAATGCGGAAAGATTCCTTAAACAAGACAACTAAAATACTGATAAATTAGATGTCATCAAAATTTAAAACTTCTTCCCATCAAAAGATGGTATTAAGAAAATAAATACGCAAGCAAAAACTGGGAGAAAATATTTTAATACACGTATCTGACAACGGACTTCATCCAGAATCAATCAGAACCACATCCAGAACCACAAATCAGTAATAAAAAGTCAAATCATCCAAAATAAAATTGGGCAAAATACATAAACAGATGTTTCAATAAAGAAAATATATGAATGGCCAGTAAGTATCTGAAAAAGTTCACAACAGCATTAGTCACTGGGAGGTGCAAATTAAAATCACAATGATATACCAATACATGCCTACTAAAATAGCTACAATTAAAGACAGTGACAATAGCAAGTGTTGATTAGTATGCAGAACAACCAGAACTTCAGTAAATTGCTGCTGAGAATGTAAAATAATACAGTCACTTCCACATAAACTGTGCTGATGTCTTTTAAAAATAAATACATCCCTATCTTATAATCCAGCAATTCCACTCTTAGGTGTCTAACCAAGAAAATAAAAATGTATGTCCACAAAAAGACCTATACAAGAATTCTCATGGCAGTCTTAATCATAATAGATAAAAACTGGACAAATCCAAATGTCCACCAACAGGAGAATGAACAACAAATGTAATATTAAACAATGAAGTATTACTTATCAGTAAAAGAAACAAGATTACTGATAGGAAAATATCACAAATATCTTGCTGACATTACACAATACCACTTACATAAAATTCTAGAAGAAGCAAAACAAATCTGTAATTTAAAAAAATCAGAAAAGTTGTTTGGGTGAGGCAGAGATGATTGATAGAAGGAAATATAAATGAGGGAACTTTCTAAGGCTATGGAAATGTGTATACCTTTAAAAGGATGTGGTTACATGGGTGTATGAATTTGTCAAAAGTCATCAAATTGCCAGTTTAATATTTATGTATTTCATTTGTGCATGTAAATTTTATCTGAAATCAAAATTGTGAGCAAATAAAAAGTAAAGATTAACAGTGAAAAACTCTCTGAATTTTCAATGATTGTTAAAACCAAAATAACAAAAGCACTCATAAAAATCTCTAATACACTTAACTACTTAAAATTTCATATGGAACCAAAAAAAAGCCCGTATAGCCAAGACAATCCTAAGCAAAAAGAACAAAGCTGGAGGCATCACGCTAACTGACTTCAAACTATACTACAAGGTTACAGTAACCAAAACAGCATGGTACTGGTACCAAAACATATATATAGACCAATGGAACATAACAGAGGCCTCAGAAATAACACCATACATCTACAACCATCTGATCTTTGACAAACCTGACAAAAACAAGCAAGGGGGAAAGGATTCCCTATATAATAAATGGTGTTGGGAAAACTGGCTACCCATATGCAGAAAACTGAAACTGGATGCCTTCTTTACACCTTATATAAAAATTAACTCAAGATGGATTAAAGATTTAAACATAAGACCTAAAACCATAAAAATCCAAGAAGAAAACCTAGGCAATACCATTCAGAACATAGGTATGGGCAAAGACTTCATGACTAAAACACCAAAAGCAACGGCAACAAGAGCCAAAATTGATAAATGGGATCTAATTAAACTAAAGAGCTTCTGCACAGCAAAAGAAACTATCATCACAATAAACAGGCAACCTACAGAATGAGAGAAAAATTTGCAATCTATCTATCTGACAAAGGTCTAATATTCAGAATCTACAAGGAACTTAAACACATTTACAAGAAAAAACAAACAACCCCATCAAAAAGTGGGCAAAGGATATGAACAGATACTTTTCAAAAGAAGACATTTATGCGGTCAAGAAATACATGAAAAAAAGCTCATCATCACTGGTCATTAGAGAAATGCAAATCAAAACCACAGTCAGATACCACCTCATGCCAGTTAGAATGGCAATCATTAAAAAGTCAGAAAACAACAGATGCTGGAGAGGATGTGGAAAAAATAAATGAATAAATGAGTAAATATTTTTAAAGAAAGAAAATCTAGGTCTACTTCACAAAATAAAAATATTAAAAAAAATCCTCCTGAGCCAAGTACAAGTTTTAAAAAAAGATACATTTCTTATCTATATAAGAACAGAGTAAAACAAATAAATGTGGTCATCTTAGATATATTGTGATGTCAAACATGACTTTCTCAAAAAGATAAAACTAAAGAGTGATATAAAAATATCAGATCAGTGATTGCCGTTGAGAGGTGGGAACATGAATTGATTGGATAGGGCATGAGGAAACTCTGGGGTAACACTGTAGTAATGTTCTGCATCTTGATCGTGGTGGTAACTATACAGTTGTATGCACTTGTCAGACGTAGAGAATGTGCACTTAGTTTTCTATATTTCAATGTGCATAACTTTTAAATAAAAACAAAATAACTGCAATAATACAGAATTCCATCTAATGATATACTATGCTGAAGGGTTTAGAAGCCAATATATTGATGCCTGCATTTACATGAATGCATCATAAGTGAGACGAATTGATGGACAGAGGGATGCCTAATAAATACCTAGATAATGTGATAAATCAAGTTTAGCAAAATATAATAATAGATTCCAAGTGGTATATATATAAACGTTCACTGTAAAATTCATACAAATTTTCCATATGTTTAAAATTTCTCATAATAAGATGTTGGGGTCAAGTCTGAACTTGGAAAAGGATGGAAAAGGATATAACATTCAGATATATAAGTAGACATTAAGGCAAAAAGTATTACCAGAAATAAAAGTGGGCATTTCATAATGATAAAAGTCTATTCTATAGGAAGATACAGTAATCGTAAAGACCTTAGTACATAATAAAATGGCTTCAAAATAAATAAAATGAAAATTCACAGAATTAAAAGGAGAAAAATTAATCATAATCATTGAATACTTTAAACATCTCTCTTGATAACTGACACAACATACGAACAATACATCTATGCACAACAACTGGACAACACGATTAACCTATTTGGTCTAAATAACATACGGAGACAATACTACACTCAACAACTACAGAATATACAAACTTCATGAATTGTCTAAGAAACAGGGCCTATTTAGGGTCACAGGGCAAGTATCAAAAAATTTCTAAGGATTGAAATAGTATAGCTTATATTTTCTCACCACCAGGGAATTAAATTCCAACTCAGTGACAGAAAGATAGCTTCAGAATTTCCTAATGTTTTAATATTAAGCAACATATTTTTAAATAATTCATGGGTCAAAGAAGAAAACAAAATTAGAAACTAAAAAATATTTCAACATATATAATAATGAGACACATATATAATAATGAGAAATGGCATATCAAAAATTTATGGGATGCAAAGCAGTATATAAAGAAAAAAGTAATCATTTTCATGAAAAGATCAATCATTTGGAAGACTCAATATTGCTAAGATGCCAATCTTGCTTTAACTATTCTTTAGAGGCCATGCAATCCCCATTAAATACTACCAGCTTGAAGAATAACAAGCTGAATGAAGAACTGAGAATAGCTGCAGAAATACTGAAGAACATTTGACAGCTGGATCCTTACACTATCACAAATTAAGACTTACTATAATGCTACAGAAATTAAGACCATGGAGTATTATTGCAGGGATAAAAACCTACAACAATGGAACAGAACAGAGTCCAGAAACAGATCCACACAATAACCTAAGTCATTACATGGGCTCTACTGCAATTCGTTGTTGGGAGGATGGGGAGACACAATTCATTAATTGCATGATGCTGAGACAAGTTGACTAGGCATCTATATGAAGAAAATAAATGACTTTGACAATATAAAAAGTATTTTGAAACTGATCAGGACCTAAATGTGAAAGCTAAAATAATCAAGCTTCTAGAAGAAAGCACAGTAGAACATGTTCAGTGCTATGGGAATGGCAAGGGTTTCTGAAACAGGATACAAAATGCATTAACCATAAGGAGAAAAAAATGATAAATTAGACTACATTAAAATTAAGAATTATTGCCATCAAAAGACAGCATTAAGAGAATAAAAATGCAAGCCACAGACTGTATAAATATATATAAATTACATAAATCAATAAGAAAAACAACAAAATTTAATAATGGACAATAGCCTCGAAGAGATATTTCACAAAAGAAGATATCAAAATGGTCAAAAAACATATAAAAAGCTACCAACATCATTAGTCATTAGGGAAACACAAAATACAAATAAATCAACAATGAAATATGACTATACACCCATCAGAATGATTGATATTAAAATCAGTAATGATACCAAGTATTAACTCTCACAGCTGGAACAACTCACTTACATTGCTGCTGTAAACTGGCACAACTTTGGAAAAACATTTGGCATTACCTAATAAAGCTAAACCTATGACTCAACTATTCTTTTCTTTTGTATGTGCCTGTATATGTATCAAAATAAATAAATGCTAAGGCCCGCCAAAAGATATGTTCAAGAATCTCTATAATACTTCATGCATAATAGGTTAAAAATGAAAACAATCTAAATTTCTGTCATCTGTTTAACATGTTTAATATGCAAATAAATCATGGCATATTCACACAAGGGAACATCACACCACAATGAAAAAGACACATTATTAATAATTATTAACAATACAGATCAACATACAGTAGTTAACACTGGGTGACAGAAATTAGACACAAGGAGTATATAACATATGACTCCTTTTATATGAAGTTTTAAAACATGCAAAATGACCCATGGAGACAGAAATAAGAGGAGTGATTATCTTTGGTGAGAAATTCCGACTGGGAAGAGACAAGAAAGAGCCTCCTGGAGTACTAGCAGTGTTCCATATCTTGATCAGGATGCTGCTTTCAAGGGAACACACATATATAAAAATTCATCAAATCCTTCACTTGAGATTACTTCCCTTCAAGTTATACCCTCATTTACAAAAATAGAAGCTTCCATAGCTTTCAAATCTATTCCTCTCCTTGTTTTTCTTGTTTAGAACCTCATCACCTCTTGCCTCAATTATAATAGGTTCCCATAATCATTGGTCTCCTCAGACTTATGTTCATATTACTCAAGGCACTTGATAAAGTCTTGCCCAGAAATCTTCCTCAAGAGTAGCACTTTCTGCATTATCAGAAAACTCAAAAACTGCAAGTTTCACATTGCCTAGAGAATTAAGTCTACATTTCTTAGCATTTTATCTGCTTAAAGTCCCCAAATGAAATTTCAAATAACATTTCTAGGTACAACTTTTCTAAGAAGGCTATTTAGAAATATATATTTATTTTTAAATGTTTGTATTCTTTGGTCTGTCCTTTTCATTCCTGGGAATTTTCCTTGAAGAAAGAAACATGGATGTACATAAAAATTTAGTTACAAAAATGTTCCCATTCTCAAAACTCTCAATGGCAGGTGAGTTAAACAAATCTTAACATGTCCACATTATCAAAGCATGAGACCAGGTGCAGTGACTCATGCCTGTAATCTCAGCACTTTGGAAGGCAGAAGCAGGTAGATCGCTTGAGCCCAGGAGTTCAAGACCAGCCTGGGCAACATGGTGAAACCCCGTCTCTACAAAAAATACAAAAAAATCAGACTAGCATGGTAGTGTGTGCCTGTTGTCCCAGCTCCCTGGAGGCTGAGGTTGGAGGATCACCTGAGCCTGGGACGTCAAGGCTGCAGTGAGCTGAACCACGGCCATGATCACACCACTGTATTCCAGCCTGGGTAACAGAATGAGACTCTGTCTTAACTAACTAACTAACTAACTAAATAAATAAATAAATAAATAAATAAATAAATAAAATGAAGTAAAATTATGAGAATGTCTAACAAAATGTCAAATCAATGTGAAAAATCAGGCTACAAAGTAGTATATACAATACAATATGTATTGAAAAAAGACAATCTACATATAACTTTCTAGGAAGTGAGCTTGGGGGCAATTTTTTCCTTCTTTTTGCTTATCTGTACTTTCTAAAGTTATATATACTTTCAAGAAGTTGTAAAAATTTCACAGTAAGAAAAAAGTAATTACAACAGATGAACTATCAACAATATATTTTAGCAAGACTGACTGAAAAACATGCATAAGCAAATAATTGTATGATAGGAAAGCAAATTAACAAACTGACAAGGGAAAAAATTAATGAAAATCTTACAGCCACTGTAATTAAGAATATCAAATATGTTCCCTACTTTTCCTGAAAAACATAACTCTAAATGTTATGCTTTATTTTCCTTTCGAGTATAACCTTTTTGTCAAATTTCTAATATTTTAAACATCATTATTTTGTATCTATTACATGCTAGACACTATGCTAATTATAAGAAGCACAAAGTAAAGGCAACACTAAAAAAGGAGAGGTTAAGACACTAGGATATTTGATTATTTCCTCTGCTAAAGTGAAAAGATAACCTTGAAGGTTACATCATTGACCAGGATTCTAGGTATGCTCATCAAGTGGGTTTGTTAGCTTATGCTGCACTCCCTAATCTCAATCTGCTTTATCACAGTGACTGCTGGTCATGCAGACGCCAAATGAGGAATTCATAACCAGGCTAGGAAAGTTCTAGCACCCATTTCTGAATCTTGAAATATGTGTCATTATATTATCTTCTCAGACCTTAATTTCTATACTTGTTACAACAAGGAGGAAATTGTTTGCAAGTTTTAAATTATTCATACTTTTCCTTAGATATGCTTCCTCTTTTTAACCACTTCTGAATCTGGCTTACTGACTGTGTGATAAAATATGTATCATTTAGGGATTTTTTCCTATACAACCACATAAAAATTACACAGAAAAATATCTGGAAATCACTAACCTTAATAATTGCTATATTCGAAATCTTTATTTCTAGTGCCTTTTTCTCTTGACTGCAAATCACTATAGCACAATTACTTGACAAACCAAGAATTCTAATACATGGACTTACCAGTTTTTTACTATCCGGGACCTTGCCTTCTGTGATACCACACTCTCCTCAGTTTCTTTCTATGTGCCTCATCACTCCTCTTCCTCTTTACATAAGGGAGAGTCCACAGTGAGGGAGAGTCTGGAATTCATTGCTGTAATAACTCTCTGGTCCCTCACCCATTAAAATCTCAGTCTTAGTTAAAATCAAATATCTACTACACCACACTACTCACACCACACTCGAGATTGGAATACTGCTAAAGGAAATCACACAACTTCCCTGACACGTTTTTAAAAATTTAACTACCCTAATTCTTAAATGTGCATTCAGCTCTGCCTGGCAATCCTACATTTCTCTAGTTATGTTCATTTATATAGAAACAAAGACAATGATTTCAAACTGTCTCCACATTTTAAATCTTCAGCACCATCCACTAATCCACTGAAAATCTAAATTAATCTAACATTTTAATAATGACACTGCACCCCCAACTTCCCTTTACTAAATTTATCAACTTGCCAGCATCTGTATCTATCCAAATGCTTTGCATACATCTGTTAAAATGAAAGTAGTTTCCCTGTTCCTAACAAAAGCCAATTCTTATACTTATGTTCTAGAACCTATTTCCTATCAATTTACTCATCTACTCCAGGACTTGGTACTGCAATTATCTTTGTTTGTTTGTTTGTTTGTTTGTTTAGATGGAGTCTTGCTCTGTCTCCCAGGCTGGAGTGCAATGACACAATCTCGGCTCACTGCAACCTCCGCCTCCTGGGTTCAAGCGATTCTCCTGCCTCAGCCTCCCAAGTAGCTGGGATTATAGGTGCCTGCCACTGCGCCCAGCTAATTTTTGTATTTTTTAGTAGAGACAAGGTTTCACCATGTTGGCCAGGCTGGCCTCAAACTCCGGAATTCAGGTCATCCACCCGCCTTGCCCTCCTAAAGTGCTGGGATTACAGGCTGCAATTATCTTTTTTATCCCTGAAAACATCACTTTTCCTTTTTCCTGGTTCATTTTTATCAATACAACAACCACATGTGCTAGAACATCCCATTAAAAAAAGAAAGGAAAAAAAAAAAAACCTCCCAAGATACCATAAGCCCTCTCTCCATCTAATGCCAATTTTTCTGCCTACATTACAGGAGGGGGAAAAAAAGTTGTATTCACTGTCTGCACTTCCTCTATTTCCATTTTCTCCTCAAACACTCCAACGTTGCCTCTGTCCTGGACGGAACTCCTGTCAAAGCCCTCAACATCATCCATGTGATCAAATCTATCTTCACTTTGCTTGAATTCACACCACTCAAGGGAACTGACTACGCTCATCTTTTAGAAACAATTTCTGGCTGGGCATGGTGGCTCACACCTGTAATCCCAGCACTTTGAGAGCCCAAGGCGGGTGGATCACCTGAGGTCAGGAGTTCAAGACTAGCCTGGCCAACATGATGAAACCCCGTTTCTACTAAAAATACAAAAAATAATTAGCCAGGCATGGTGGTGCAGGCCTGTAATCCCAGCTACTCGAGAGGCTGAGACAAGAGAATTGCTTGAACCCAGGAGGGAGAGGTTGCGGTGAGCTTATATCACGCCACTGCATGCCAGCTTGGGCAACAGAGCAAGATTCGGTCTCAAAAAAAAAAAAAAATTAAATAAATAAATAAACAGAAACAATTTCCCCTCTTGCCTTCCCTGACACCACACTCATTTCAATGTCCTTCGACCTCATTCAACATTCCCTTCCAATCTCCTCTCCTGGCTCCTCCTCTTTTGCCCAACTGCTAAATGTTGACACACCACACAACTTGGTCTTAGCCCCTCTTCTCTTTGGTGAGCTTTCCCCAGTTTCATCTAGTCCCACAGTTTTACTTATCCATATCCCAATGGCTGCAATAACCAAGTAACTGCTCAAAATTCTCCTTGAATTTTTAAGAATAATCTCAAATATACCATATCCAAAAGAGAATGTCATACCCCTCCCAAAATATGTTGATCCCACCCCAAAGAAACTTCCCCATCACAACAGATAGAGCCAACACAGTGTTCAAGTCCAAATACAGAAGTTAGCCTTAATTCTTTCTGCTCCTTTATGTCCAAATCCAATTTGTCTTCAAGGCCTACTTATCGTACTTTCAAAATATTTCCCAAATCTGTCCACTTTTCTTGATCTACACTTGTTCCTCTGAACCACCATCACTTTCATCTTTTGCTTAGACTATTTCAACAGCTTTTTTCTTTCAGTCCCTTCTGCATTTAGATGCAATATCTGCTCCTGACCATTACCTCCAAGATCATACAGACTTGTCTGCTGCCTATGTCTTCTGCCTTATCACTTATAAGTATCTTCCTTGCTCACTGTACTTCAATCAAATGTAAGGTTGGCACATTTGATTTGACACTTTAAAAACCTAAGCTTGTTCACTCTGTCAGGGCACTGTTGATCTCTTCTTTTCTAATGGAATGCTCTTTCCATAGCTCTCTGCACAGCTGGATACTTCTCTTCTTCAAGTCTTCAAGTCTTAGAGCAACAATTCATCTTGAAAAATAGGCCTGCCTTGATCACCCTATTTAAAGTGATAATCCCACCCCCCAGCTGCTGTCACTATACATTAACTATTTTCATCACACCACTACCTGAAAGTACTTTATTTATTTGTTTGTTCACTATCTACATTTCCATATGAAAACATAAGTTCCATATGAGTAAGAACCTTTTATATCTGGATTATTGCTGAGTTCCCAACACACAGCACATAACAGGTACTCAATAAAATGTGGATGAATGAATAATATTTCACTAAATGCTTTTAGTTTCATGTATCTTGAAATATCTAAAATAGCCAAGTTCAATAATTCCACAAACATAATAAGTAACTTCACATCCAAGGGACTGTGATTGACACAAATAAATAAACAGCTTCTATCTTCATGCAAGTTCATGATAGTAGGAAAGCCAGGCATAAAATCAATTAACTGTAATACAGTGTGATAAGGCCTGTAACAGGATACAAGGTAAAATATGGGCACAAATGACATAGTTATCAATATTGCTTCATGTGAGTGATCTTTACAGAAGAGATGATATTTAAAATGGCTTTGAAGTATAATGCAGACAAGTGAGCAACAAGCAGAGAGGAAGTATGTTCTAGTAAGAGGGAAAAACAGGCTTAAAGGCAGAAAGAGTCAAAAAGAACAGACCAATGCACTTTCCATGCATTCTTCAGCAGTCTTCCTAGAATTTTCTTCATTACATCACTAGATTGGATTCATGTCTTCCTCTCACTTAGTTTACTCCTTCAGCTTGGTGCTTGGTATAGGCTTGCAGCCTATATTGGTAAAGGAATCTGAACAGTGAAATGTTTAGCTGAATTTCTTTAATTACCCCTTGATTCTTCCATGGGTTTTCTATCAATGTTGAACATGAAAGATCTCTGGATCTGTACTTTTCATTACAATATTTGATAAAAAAAATAAGCCACTAAATTATCACAAAAGGTGTGCTCATTATATTTCATCTAAAGGAGCAATATAAATATCTTAGAAATATTTTCAACAATAAAACCAAGAAACGAGTACAGAAATTAAAAGAGTGATAATAAATTTAGATATATAGAATGACTCATTTCTAGAAAATAGTGATGAGTTCAGATTCTCCATATAGTGTTCAGAAAACAGAAATGTAAGATCACTGATTTGGCCTTAACAGGCAAGAAGAAACTAACACCTAGAAGACAGAAAAGTAGAAGGAAACCCAAGGAAAGGTTGAAGGATGTGAAAATACCTGAAAAGTAGAAACAGTGCTAGTTTCTGCTTTGCCTTGCTGTGCTTTGCTCCTAGAAGTTTTTAGCCTGTATGCACCTTTTCATATAGTTTCTGAACTAATTATAATCAAGCCTGGCAATATAATCAAAGCTCCATTCTCATCAGTCGATGCCAATGAAATTCATTGAAGAGTCATAGCATATTTTCCATTACGCCTATAATAGAGTCCAAACACGCATGTACATAAAGAATTTACCACTTTCTTCCTTTATACCTGCTGTACTCTAAGTCTCTATGACAAGACTTTTGCCTTCTGTTTTGAGTGGTCCATGTGGTTAAAGTCCATAAAGTCCATACAGTTACCCCCATTCTCATACCTGACTTATTCAGGTCTCAGGGGTTGGGCCCCTCACTTAGGTACCAGCAAGGGTCCAATCAATGAAGAGCTCTACAATATTATCCTTCTAACTACAAATACCAATAAGACCCAAAGCCTCCAGGTGCCAGGCCTTGCCCATTTATGTATACCCTTATAAGTAAAACATAGCCCAGAGCTAGCCTAATTTTGCCAGAATATCTAGGAATAATTACTTGAATTACTGTATCTCCCAATAAAGTCAGCCCTCAAAGCTAATAAATCACCAATCCTGGCTAGTTCAATAATTTTCTGTTGCTTATTGATGTGTGACCTGAGTCCAATTGTGCTTCTAAGCCTAGCCCTCATGACTTAGGACATTACTGATAAATATTTGAATATATTTGATGCAATATGATTTATTTGTCAAATGTTCTGAGACCAATTCTAACACCAATGGCTAGATATTAAGAGAAGATGGGTATTTGACTAAAGTGAAAATTAGTGACAGATCAGATTCCTTAATTTGGTGAACAATTTAACTAGATGGCTCCTAAGGTCCTACAAAATTTAAAATTCTATAATTCTATAAAAATCTTTCCAATTAAAATTCTAAATTTTTTGTTTGTATAGAATAATAATCTGAAAGATCCTGGAAAAGGAGAATAGTGAAGAAATGGAAGTTTACAGCTTTATCTTCTGATTCCAGATATTTCTACAATTCGAATAAAATAGGAAAGTGTGAATTGGCCAAAAAAATGATAAAGAAAGAATAGAGGACTGGTTGGTAAGATAATTCCTTGATCAAACAATTGCTAATTATAATTTTTAAATTAATTATATGAAAGACTTTAAGGCTTTTGGCTCTCAGTTTGAGATAGAAGAGAAATGAAAAAACAATTTGGGATAAATAAAGAGTATAAGGATTTATCTGAAAAAGATAACATTTTTAACTAGGTCAATTAAAGTAAATAAATGATTTTGACTTGATTTGAAAAATAAAGTAAGATATCAAGTGTATCAAAGTCAACAAATTATAACTGAATCTGAAATTTTTAATATCTATATGGAATGTGACTAAAGTTCTCCTAGCACTATACAGAAGACATAATTAGAAAATGTCTGATGCTAAATAATAGCTTTAAAATCAAGGCTGGGCAGGTGGCTCACAACTGTAATCCCAGCACTTTGGGAGGCCAAGGTGGGCAGATCATTTGAGGTCAGGAGTTCTAGACCACCTTGGCCAACATGATGAAACCCCATCTCTACTAAAAAAGTACAAAAAATTAGCCAGGTGTGGTGGCACCCGCTTGTAATACCAGCTACTTGTGAGGTTGAGGGAAGAAAATCGCTTGAACCCAGGAGGCAGAGGTTGCAGTGAGCCAAGACAGTGCCACTGCACTCCAGCTTGGGTGACAGAGTGAGAATCCATTCTCAGAGTAAGTAAAAAGTTAATTAAATTAAATTAAGGCAAAATCCCTGTGGTATTCTTTCCCAAAACTCAAAATCTCACTTTAATCATGAGAAAAACAAACCCAAATTCAGAGATATTCTATAAAATATGTGAGCAGTACTCTTCAAAATTATTGAGGTTATGGAGGAAAAAAATACAAGGAAAGATGAATAGGCTGTCACAGACCAGAGACTAGAAGGACGTGACAATTAAATGCAATATGCTACCCTGGATTGGATCATGGAACATAAGGACACTAATGAAAACTGGTGAATTCTGAATAACATCTAGAGTTGAATTGATACTAATGTACCAATGTTGGTTTCCTAACTTTAACAAACATATCACAATGATTTAAGATAACAAAATTAGAGAAAACCAAAACTGGGTAATATATGGGAGCTGTCTATATTGTACTATTTTTGAAACTTTTCTGTAATCTAAAACTATTCCAACAAATTTATTTTTAAAAAATCAAAGTTAAAAAAAGATTCCATTCAGAAATATAAGACAATAATTCAAAAGTGTAAGTATACAATGACTAACATAAAAATTAAAATGAGTATTTATTGAGCCAGAGGGCTTGCAAATAAGCAAATTAAAATAACTAAACAACTCCTTTCTCATAAAACATAACCATAAATATAGTGCGGTGGTATTTATACATAACAACTTGTCAGCAAATATTACCAAATGTTAACTTCTTATTTATTTATCCTTTTATACCATGAAAGTCAGTGGAGGGAGAAAAGATAGGAAGAGGGAATGAGTGGCAGTCAATTTAATTATGCTCTATGTGCTTATTTTAGTTAACTTACTTCCATGTCTAGACAGCATGGAATCATTTGTGGTGAACGAATGCTTCATTCAAGAACAAGAAAAGCCAGATTTAATGCAAAAATCATCTGCCTAAAGGTATCAGAGGGCTGTTGCTGCAATAATGGCTTGAGTGTCTAAGATTCTGAAGAGGAGTTAACTGGAGAGGAAGGACTGGAGTATCTGCAGTTATTTTTTCCCCCTGAGAGTGTCATATTCTAGGTATGGGGAAAACACTGAGAAATCAGGCTTTAACTAGGCAAAGAGCTCCTGCTGGAAGACAGAGAAACCACCCAAGCTTTTGACAGCTATTCAGGGCTGAAGTGACAAAATGGAGATTTGAGACTTGTTTCTGAACCAAATCATTTGCCAAATTCCAAACTTCTACAGGTCTTTAAGTTAAAAAGCTAAGCCCTCAAACCTCTGAAAAAATATTTGAGTTTTCCACAGTCTTCCAGTGCTAAGGAAACAAACACACACTAGAATACAGGATCGTCCAGGAGTCGGGCCCTTGCAAATACTCAGCTCTCAGTTTGGGAGGCCTCATCCAAAATACAGGGGTGAACCACAACTAGGCCAAGACTTACCAAAACTTCCACTCAGCCTCCATGGGAGGTGGTAAGGCATTTTGGATAGCAATGGAA
Organism: Homo sapiens; assembly: GCF_000001405.40. Lineage (NCBI taxonomy): Eukaryota > Metazoa > Chordata > Mammalia > Primates > Hominidae > Homo > Homo sapiens. The sequence goes on along the minus strand of NC_000014.9, from coordinate 37,310,647 downwards.
ATGAACTAATATCAAACATTTTATGAAGTAGGAGAGAAAAGGAACAAGTGGTTAAGCGATCACCTTGTGAAGGCCAGAAAAGATGTGAACTAGTATGGAAATAGAGAGATTGTCTTTAAATAGAAGCATGTAGTTAGAAAAAAGTAAAGTAGAAAAGGCAGAGCACATGGGTGCAAATGCAGGTAGGCTAGTAGATGAAATGGCTGTGGGCATGCAGAAGTTATCTTTTTAACTGGGAGGAGAGGTGAGATAACTAAGGAGAAAGAAGAGATAAAATAGTCCTCTAGAGGGGAGAGTGAATAGACAAGCAAAAGGCAAGAAGTTGCCAGGCAACACTAAGAACCTAACTGAATATATTAATAGTTGGTCATGGATTTAAGGTAAGTACAGTCAGTAAATTTGTGTGATTTTTCTCCTGCCTTACAAAGCTGTGAAGATACAAAACAGAGAGATTCATTTAAATAGATTTTGATTTTGCTGGGTGAGTAGGACAAAGGAAGAGGGCAAAGAGAAATGAGGGTATATTATGTGCAAGTTGGCGATAATTATAATGGGCTATGGAATTTAAGCCAGATGTGTGTGTGTTGGGGTGGGGGAGTAAGGACATAAGGGGTTTGAGAGACAGAAAAGAGTTAGTAAGATTGATAGAAATAAGCTGAGGCCAGGCGTGGTGGCTCACATCTGTAATTCCAGCATTTTCGGAGGGCGAGGTGGGTGGATCACTTGAGGTCAGCAGTTCAAGACCAGCCTGGCCAACATGGCAAAACCCTATCTCTACAAGAAATACCAAAAAATTAGCTGGGCTTGGTGGCGCACACCTGTAGTCCCAGCTACTCAGGAGGCTGAGACAGAAGAATCACTTGAACCTGGGAGGCACAGACTGCAGTGAGCCAAGATCACACTACTGCACTCCAGCCTGGGTGACAGACCAAGACTCTGTCTAAAAAAAAAAAAAAAAATGCTGGAGTCAGAGTTCTAGCATGAATGAGCTAGAAAGATAGCAGCTGGTAGTCAGAAAGCGGGAAGCTTGACATTGAGACTCAGAATGACCAGGAACAGAGTATGACCACAGAGCAGATAGCAGATACAGTGTGCAGCACACAATGACTAAAGTAGAGAAATTTAGGAAATAAGAGGCTGCAATTTTTGAAAGGATTATCTACATAGGAATTTACATCACCAAGAATTATGACAGGAGTAGGCTGAAGAAAGAGACATTGGAATAGGCCCAAAAATTTTAACAAAACAAGAGAAGTGACATAGAAGTGTGTACACGACTACAACAATAGTGTGCACTGGGTGGTACAGTCTGATGCATGAGTTTCAGAGCTGGAGGTATTTAGGGAGTGAAAAAGACATTGATCTGAAAACACTAACAAGGCCAGGTGTGGTGGCTCATGCCTGTAATCCCCAACACTTTGGGAGGTCGAGGGAGGAGGATCACTTGAGGCCAAGAGTTCAAGAGCAGCCTGGGAAACAAGGTGATACCAAATCTCCACACACACTAAATAAATAAATAAATAAATAAATAAATAAATAAATAAAATAACAAGAAACAAGCCTCCAAGCCCAGTGGTATAACTGGTATGAGAGAGAGCACAGCCACTAGTTGAAAGGACTGCACTGGAAGCAGTGGCCTGAGGGAGGTAATCAGGTTTCAGGTAGAGCAGGAAGGTGTAAGTAGCATTCAGAAAAAAATACATGAATAATTTTGATCCATTAATCAAGGTTTACTAAAAGGTACTGAATTAGGCACTGGGAATAAAACAGTAATATAGACATAGTCTCAGCCTTCAGAAAACTGTAATTTAAGTAAGAAGTCCCATATAAAAGTGATTAGTTGAAAAAATATAACAATTTCTATAACAAGTTAGTCTGTAATAAAACAAGTTTAATTTTATTAAGAAATGAGACTGCATTAAATTTTATTTAAAATGAGGTTTCATATTTTGAACAGTAGTATAATAAAATACATAATTATTTTAATATAGCTAATCACTGTGGTATTAATTATGTGCTAAAAATTAATGTGAATTAAGAATATCTGGGCCAAAGTCAGTTTTTAATGGTTAAAAAAATAGAGAGGAAAATGGTAAGTATATGCTTTTACAGATATATGCAGAGTTACCTTAGACAAGGCAGCATCCCGTTCTTCTATTAGTGCACTCATTTCTTCTGCAGTTATTCTCATTTTACATTCCTTGGTCTTGTAGATTCTATCCACAATTATAGCTCCATTCTTCTGAATAGCTATCCCTGTGTCTGCATTGTTTATTCTGTTCAGTAATTCCTGTAATGTCTACCAACACCATTATATGTTAGTCAGACATGAAGTTTTAATATATTTTATTTAATATAGGGTTTTAATTAATAGGCACATGTGAATTGTAAATTGACTGAGTGAAGTTATTGAATTTTCATATTGCAGCAAAGATGTACATTATTAGTGTGTCAATTCTTCTTTTTCCCACATCTTAGTTCTTGAAACCCACTCAATTGAACTTAAGCCTCTAAGATATAAGACTGACATCAAGAAATCTCCTCAGAGAATGGCTTACCATGTCATTTTCTTCAGGGTTAATATTTTCTAGCCTAGAAAAAAGGGACACAGAAAGCCTGATCAGTAGCATTTCCTTAGTGCAGCAAAATGAGTTCGCTTTTTAAATCTTTAGAACCTCAAGTAATTTCATTCGACTAGTCTTTAGAGTCAACCATGACACTGAACATATTAAAGTGCCACCTGCTCGACTCCATCTTTCAATAATGCTCCATATCTTCTGCACTGACTTCAGACTGTTAAGTTATTAATGTTTACTGCTATATATGACTACAAGGATCAATTGTTCATATGTGCTTAGATGAAGAAAGTTCCCCAGTGATAAAAGCACTCATTCTCATCATTATATTTATTCCTGGACTTTCCATTTTTATCAGAAACTGTATTTCCTCTCTTTTTTTGGACACCATCATAAGTAAAACAAGGCTAGTATTTTTATTACAAAGTTTAACTATGTTCCCTTAAAAGCAATGACAAATAATTACACTAAATTTGAAGTAAAAATCTCTTGCTGTTACCTATTTGTTATTATGAAACAAATGCATAGGAAGGCTGACCACAATTTTTAGATGACTGTTATTTTCTTCTTCATAATATATGTAGAATTATTCGACATAAAGACAAAAAATAAAAACTGGCTCCCCTCAGAAATGCATTTTGTCTTTTAAGAGTCGTAGTGGCTACTGAAATGTTTGCTGATGTTGAGAAATTAAAGAAATGCAGTAAAGGTAAAGAAAGTAGTTTTAAATTACCTACAAAATGTCTATAATATAATTTAGGCAACCATTCAAAGTAATTAAAAGAAAATTTGTGATATATGTTAGTGAAAAGGTATAGATTCTAGAAAGGATCTCAATTATTTTAAAATTATACTAAAAAGTTTAGATATCCAAGTTTCTGTTTTCTCAAGTTTTCCCCGTTTCTGTGCTCCTGTGATTTGACATTTACCATAAAATAGGATACTAGCCAAAGATAATAGAAGACACCTAATAAATATGCCACAAAATGGTTCCAAACTTCACAACTGGATAAAATTACTACACTCATGGAAAAGTAGTACTTTTAGAACTTAGTATTTTAACAGAAAAAATATATACACATATATTAAAGAGCTATTTCTAGACATAAATAGTATCAGTTAACAGGAAGGTACAGTAATTTTAAGTTATATATAATTCAGTGTATCTCAAACAACTAACATCCACTTAGGTTTACGTTTCAAGAAGGGTAACTACTTTCATCTCTTATCTTTTTTTCTTCAAAATAAATGAACAATTTTCAAAGATGCTGCCTAACAAAAGTTTGCTCTACAAGAATTGTGAAGATAAACACTTCTTTTCATCTCAATTGAAAAACCTAACAGAAAAGTATAAGATAATAAAATTCTTACATTTATTTATTATCATAGTGAAAATATTTGAAGAAAATGAGTGGCATTTAACCAGCAGTAATTGGTTGGCTAAATACGATTTCTAAGGAAGTTATATGTGGTGAGAAATATTTATCTTATGTTATCTTTTATTGCCATTCTTTTTAGCTAAAATCAAAGTAAGATCTAATTATGGCTGCTACCCAATAAAATCCAATTAAAATGCTTATAAACTTCACAATTACCTTGTTAACCTTGATGATTTAAAATGTGAACAGATACAGGACAATTAAATATTTGGACTGTTAGATTCCTCTGGAACCTTTGCAACAACAAAAGACATTTAGTTACCAAGGTTATAAATCTCTATTTTTAGTTTCAAAGAATTTTATATGACCAGGAAGGAAATAACAGTAGGTTACCTAGTCTGTATATTCCAAATAATCAACACACACAAAAAATGTGTATGGAATTTCTATGTAATATTTAAGGCTGTCTTCAGGCATTGCAATGTAAAGCATTACTTTAAGGAGAGGAAGATGAAGAGTTCAAACGTTTTAAATTAACAGCTTTCAATAGGAAAGGTTTAAGATAATTGTATTTAGTCTAATATTAAAATTCCCTACTAATAATTTAAACATTTTTAAAAAATCAGAATCAAAAGTTCTTATCAAGGGCTATTCCAGATCCCTGGCACATGAATTTAGTATTCAGACTTTAAATAATTTGTGTGATTGCTGCTAAAAGCACATAATATATACTGACTTGTCATTTTGCCGATAAGTGAATTTCAAGTATGTTTTTGGTAAGGCTGCTGTGCTAGGTCTGACACACAGGACGTAAGTGAGCTAAGTCAGCCACTTAGCATTTGGATCTCAATCTTGTTTTGTTATTATTCTTTATAACTGATATAATTATAGTGATAAATGGCCAGGAAAAAAATATATAACTGGTTAAAATAAAAAAATGATTACTTCAAGATTTGAAAATCTGCATAGATGCAAGTAACTTTCAATACAAACATGAGTCTGGAAAGAGAAAAAGTTGATACTTGTATTTCTCTACTTGTATTTTTTTAAAAGTTTCAGGAAATATCACGGATATCACAGATATTAAAGATAGATTATGTCATAATTTAGTCTCAAGTAGATTATATAGAGTAGGGATCAGCCAAGTTTTTCTGCAAATGGCCAAATAGTAATTATTTTAGGCTTTACCATAGGCTCTCTTATCATAGCTACTAAATTCTGCCTCCATAGTACAAAAGCAGCCATACACAATAAGTGATCAAGTGTAGTTGTATCCCAATAAAACTTTATTTACAAAACAGGTAGCAGGCTGAATTTCAACATAAGTTCTTACTTTGCAAATCCTTGATACAGAGTGTTGGAAAATGAGACTAGATCTTTGATGTTAATGCACTGTTAAGTGCCAATTTGGAATATTTGCCATAATTTTCTAAGCTAGATCATTCAATATCTAGTTAAAGATTAGGAATCAACAAAAATAATTTTCAGAAAATGAAATTCAGGTCTACAGTAAGTATATCACATACTGTGTCACTTAAAACAACACAAAACTTAGACAACTTGCCTTTTCAGAAAAGAGGTGATTTGAAACAGCTATACATGGCTTTAATTTTCTATTTAAAATGACTTTGGGGAAGGTACTAAGGTTTACTAGTGGTATGTACAACACATAATACTTTACTGATTTAAATAAAGACTTAAAATAATAGTTGGTGTTATATGAAATATATCTGATGAACTATAAATTATATCTCATTAATATGGGGTTCACAATTAGACAAAAGAATTTCAACCTTTTGTAAACTTTAAATTATGCCTACAACAGTCTAACTTGACATAGTCATGATAATTAGTAAGAATTTTGCTGAAGTAAATGTCTATGGGCTCAAGTTTCAATTGATTTCCTATACCATGCAAATTCTGACTGACATCCTTGCACTCTAAGTGAAAAGATCCATGCGTGAAATGTCGCATTTCTTGATTTATCCCTAAATCAGTCAATATCACCCTTTTCTTTTCTGAAACTACAGTCGTTCACCTTGTTCAATCCTAAGATGCCAAACGTTGACCTCCAATGATAAACAAATTTCACATTTTTCTGAAAATTCTTATTTGTTGGCTTTTATTCTAATCAGAAAATTCTGATTTGTTTGCTTTTATTCTCTCTCATTTTCTACACACCACCACACTTAACATGTTAAAAAAGTACCAACAATAGCAAAGAGACTGAAAAAAAGGTATCATGATCTGAAAAGCTGAAGTATACAAATGCAAACGTATATAAGAGTATGTATATGTAGGTAATTTTAACTTGAATCCTTTTTTATTTTTTTCCCTAGTTTTTGATAAAAGCCAAAAAAGAGAAAAAGCATTAAAGCCAAGGGGTAAAGAAAAGCAGAGAGAGGCAGAATAAGACAAAGCAGACACTGTAACAGAGATACAATGTAGATCAGAAGTAGCAAAGCAGATGAGAGAAAAAAGACAACAAAGGATCTGAAGATTATAGGAAGCAAAAATTAGGAATTTTTTTAAAAGATGTGAACAATTTATATAATTTTATCGTATACTCGATGCCCCCAAATATACCTTTCAGTCAAGCAAAAACAGTTATGCATTGGTCCTGTTATCAAGATGTACTCTAAAACACACTCTTGACAGTTCAGAACCTATAGATTCAGCAGAAAAGAACCTCATAGAACCATCTGATACTATGCTGACATAATATTCTTTGTTGCTGTTGCTTTTCTTGCTTGGTATGTGTGGCCTTCCCTGACTCTTCCCCCTACCTGAACTCCTAGACTCTGATACAGAAGGAGTCCTTCTTGTAAGCTGTTTCTAGGAACCAAAAATTCTTCAGATTAACTGTTAATTGTTTTAAGCATTTATATGATTACTTACTTATTTACTTAAGTCAATTTGACCATAATGCTGTGTCCCCAGCAACTAGCACTGTACCTGACACAGTATAGTCAATAAATATTTACTGAATGAATTAAAAAGAAAAGCCTGAGAATTGAATGCATTCCTTTTCTCCCATTCCCATTCTTCCCTTAATACTAATACTCTAAAAGACAAAATGAAAAAGATTCTGTCTCAAGGAACACTAATTTCAATATACTTTAATAAAAACTGTAACAAATAAATGTATAAATTAAAGTAGATAAGCAATGAAGGGTAAAAAATAGGGAAGAATGATAGGCTCAATTTAAATATTTTAGTTAAAGAGATAGAATAAACCAAATAAAAGATCAGTTTAATCGAAGTTCTGAGGAAGAAGTTTTGGCTTGGATATGTAGGCAGATGGTTGTAACACTGATCAGAATAAGGGATTAAGGAGGAGGATCAGGTTTTAAGAATGAATTAATAAGTTTCATTTTGGATATGCTAAGTTTGAGTTGCCTGTGTAAATCTGAGGTAGACATTCTGACAATGTGTAATTGACTGACTTTGAGTCTTTGGCCAAGTAGTCTAGCCCTCTAAGCTTCTTTCATCTATAAAACATGAATATACCTACTTCAAAAGAGTTGTGACATTTTATGAAAAATTGATTTGTTGTCTTTTGGAGGTCAATTTGATTTTTTTAAAGCATAAAAATCTTTTTAGAAGCAAATCTCATGAATAAAATTGGTGACTGATTTACGTAATAAAATTTATGAACATAAATTGCATGTAAATATAATATACCACTGTTTGGTGCCTGATAAATTGAACATTATAGTACCCGCAAATCTCCAAAGAAGAGTTCTAAAGTTTTAATGACTATATTACTGAAATTTTGTAAAAAGGTTATCTAGAATAGCCAAAACAATTCTGTAATAAAAGGGCAAAGTTGGAAGACTACACCTGATTTCAAGACTCACTATCAAGATTATGTGATATTGACAAAGGGATTAACATATAGGTTAATGAAACAGAATAGTAAATTCAGAAATTAACCCACAGATATATAGTCAACTTATTTTTGACATAGGTGCAAAGGAAATTTAATGTAGAAATGACAGCCTTTCCAACAAATGGTGGTAGAATATAAGAATGTCCATAAGCAAAAAAAAAAAAAAAGATTTTTTAATGTTATCAAAATTTAAGTGTTATCAAAATTTAAAACTTGTGTTCTGCCAAACACACTAAGAGACTCAAAAAAACAAGACATCAACTAGAAGAAAATATGTGCAAGCCACATATCTGATAAACGACTTATATCCAGAATATAAACAACTCTTTTAAACAACAAGGAAAAAATAATCCAATTTGAAAAACCATCAAATACCTGAACACTTTACCAAAGAAGATATGCAGATGAAAAATAAACATATAAAAAGATGCTCAATATGATTTGTCATCAGGGAAATGCAAATAAAAATACTAAGATACTACTACACACCTGTTAGAATGTCTAACATCCAAAACAAGAAAAAAAAAAAAAAAAAAAACAACAGTTCCAAATGCTTGTATATTCCTTGGATATACAGCAACAGGAACTCTGATTCATTGCTAGTATAGCCACTCTGGAAAAGAATTTGGCAGTTTCTTATAAAATTAACATAGATTTAACTTATGATTCAGCAGTATTGCTACTGGGTTTACTCAACTGATTTGAAAATATATGTCCAGACAAAAACCTGTATGTGAATACTTAGAACAACTTTACTCAAAATCACCAAACATAGAAGTAACCAAGATATCCTTTATACAAAGGAATGAATCAAAAACTGTGATATACAATGGAATACTATTCAACAAGAAAAAAAGAACATTACATAAATTAATGCATTAACATGAATGCATTCTGCTAAATGAAAGAAGCCAATTTGAAAAGGCTACATATTGTATGATTCCATTCATACGACATTCTAAAAAAGGAAAGACTATTAAGGGAAGAAAGCAGGTCAGTAGTTGCCACAGAGTTGGGGAGGGAGGAAGATTTGAGTAGAAGAAGCAGTAGGGATTTTAAAGTGGCAGAACTAATGTGGATACATGATACTACCCATTTGTCAAAACCCACAGATATTTACAGCACATAGTGAATCAATGTATGCACCCAAAGAAACCAACTAGGAGATCAAAGGACACTAGGATAGAATGCAGACTACGATAAATAACTCTAATTACATTAAAAAATATGGCCTAAACTAACTTAAAGAGGTGGGGCAGAGGAAGGAGCCAATTTAAGTAATTTTGGAAAATGGTGTCTTGAAACTATAAGCCTAAACACTAAAACAACTATACATAATATATTCTCATTGCTAAAGTTATTTCTCATGGAGGTACAGGTTAATGATTCAGAAAGAGTTACAATGTATACTGGGTTTCAACAAATAAGTAAATAGATGGTGGTTGGTGGGGGCCAGTTTTGTCACCATTGGGTAGAGTAATTTACAGATGAACAAAAGGGGAAGGCTAGAATAAACAGTGTGGTAATGGATTAGAATTAAGAACATCAGTGTGAACTCATGTTTAGCTTGATATAGATACAAACGGATAGATGCATAAATAAGAGATATGTGTATGTATACATCAGTTAGTGTATATAGTATATATATAGATATGTGTATACATCAGTTAGTGTGTATATATATATACACACACACATATACATATACACACACATATATATAGTATAAGATACTACTATATATATATATATGTGTGTGTATTTCCTACTCTGTCTGCAGAAAGGGTCTAGAAGTAGTCATACTCCCCCAACAAAGGGCACACCCCATACCCAGATCTTGGTTTCTAATACTATTTTCCAATAAAAGGATCTAGAGTTCCTTGGAGGAATGACTGAATCTACTGGAGGGGCACAGCTCTATACATCCTTACATAAGGTGACCCTGGAGCATTCTGCCATGCCAAACAGAAAATGTTCAAAAATCAGAAGAGACCAGGTGTAGTGGCTCATGCCTGTAATTCCAGAACTTTGGAAGGCTGAGGCAGGAGTATCATTTGAGCCCAGGAGCTTGAGACTAGCCTAGGCAATATAGTGAGACTCTATTTCTAAAAAAAATTTCTAAAAATTAGCCAGGCATTAGCCAAGTGAGTACCTGCAGTCCCAGTTACTGGGGAGGCTGAGGTGGGAGGACTGCTTGAGCCCAAGAGGTCAAGGCTGCAGTGAGCTGTAATCATACCACTGCACTCCAGCCAGGACAATAGAGCAAGACCCCGTCTCAAAACAAAAACAAATAAATAACAGAAAGGAATGGGGACATATCAAAGAAATATAGGAGCTAACCTGAAAGAGCTTCCAATCCACAAAGGTAGAACATTTCAAGCAACAACACAAATAACATAGTATTAGATTATAATCCAAAGTATTAAATGAACATCTATGAATCCATACTGACACAAATGGCTGAATAAATGAATAAATGGGAAAAGAGACAAATCTCCTGTATTAAAGTATTACATATAATGTATGTAAGTATTCTCCCCTCAGGAGGTGGGGCTCAACAACCTCCCATCTTCATTCTTTAGTATGGACTGTACTTAGTGATTTACTTCCAAAGAGTAGAGTATGAACAAAGGAATGGAGGTAAGTAACTTTACAGTGGAGAAACTTAGCAAACCATATCTTGGCCAGATGATCAAGGTTAATATTACTGATAGTAAATCCTATTAGGAAAATATAACCTTCAAATGACATAAGGAAAATGGCACTCACTTCTACAGTCTTCATCCTAAAATCTCATAAACCCAACATAACCATGAGGCAAACCCAAATTGAGAAACATTCTGTGTAAAATACCTTGATCAATATGCCTCAAAACTATCAAGGTCTTAAAACACAAGAAAAGTTAGAGAAAATGTCACAGCCCAGGACAGGCTAGGGAGACATACAAACTAAATCCAATCCTGCATAGGATCCTAGAGCATAAAAGGATATTTGAGAAAAATTAGTGAAATCCAAAGAAAGTATACAGTTTAGTTAATAGTTATGTAACAATACTGAATTCTCCCCGTGACAAAAGTATCATGGTAATTTAAGATGTTAACAATAAGAGAAAGTCGTGAGGATTATGCAGCAACTATCTGTATGATCTTCACAACTGTTCTAGAAATATAAAACTATTCTACACTTTTTAAAAAATATCTAAAAAATTGGAATTCCAAGTAAAGATGGCACAGTGAAATCCGAACACCAAAATCTACTTATCCCATCATATAGACTCATGAACAGAATATGCAACTTAACCAAATGGTAAAGAAAGTAGGATGTTGTAGAGTAATTTTTATTTTTTTAATTTTTTTTTATTATTATACTTTAAGTTTTAGGGTACATGTGCACAACGTGCAGGTTTGTTACATATGTATACATGTGCCATGTTGGTGTGCTGCACCCATTAACTCGTCATTTAGCATTAGGTATATCTCCTAATGCTATCCCGCCCCCCTCTCCCTACCCTACAACAGTCCCCTGTGTGTGATGTTCCCCTTCCTGTGTTCTCATTGTTCAATTCTCACCTATGAGTGAGAACATGAGGTGTTTGGTTTTTTGTCCTTGCAATAGTTTGCTGAGAATGATGGTTTCCAGCTTCATCCATGTCCCTACAAAGGACATGAACTCATCATTTTTTATGGCTGCAGAGTATTCCATGCTGTATATGTGCCACATTTTCTTAACCAGTCTATCATTGTTGGACATTTGGGTTGGTTCCAAGTCTTTGCTATTGTGAATAGTGCCACAATAAACATACGTGTGCATGTGTCTTTATAGCAGCATGATTTATAGTCCTTTGGGTATATACCCAGTAATGGGATGGCTGGGTCAAATGGTATTTCTAGTTCTAGATCCCTGAGGAATCGCCACACTGTCTTCCACAATGGTTGAACTAGTTTACAGTCCCACCAACAGTGTAAAAGTGTTCCTATTTCTCAACATCCTCTCCAGCACCTGTTGTTTCCTGACTTTTTAATGATTGCCATTCTAACTGGTGTGAGATGGTATCTCATTGTGGTTTTGATTTGCATTTATCTGATGGCCAGTGATGATGAGCATTTTTTCATGTGTTTTTTGGCTGCATAAATGTCTTCTTTTGAGAAGTGTCTGTTCGGATCCTTCGCCCACTTTTTGATGGGGTTGTTTTTTTCTTGTAAATTTGTTTGAGTTCATTGTAGATTCTGGATATTAGCCCTTTGTCAGATGAGTAGGTTGCAAAAATTGTCTCCCATTCTGTAGGTTGCCTGTTCACTCTGATGGTGGTTTCTTTTGCCATGCAGAAGCTCTTTCATTTAATTAGATCCCATTTGTCAATTTTGGCTTTTGTTGCCATTGCTTTTGGTGTTTTAAACATGAAGTCCTTGCCCAGGCCAATGTCCTGAATGGTATTGCCTAGGTTTTCTTGTAGGGTTTTTATGGTTTTAGGTCTAACATGTAAGTCTTTAATCCATCTTGAATTAATTTTTGTATAAGGTGTAAGGAAGGGATCCAGTTTCAGCTTTCCACATATGGCTAACCAGTTTTCCCAGCACCATTTATTAAATAGGGAATCCTTTCCCCATTGCTTGTTTTTCTCAGGTTTGTCAAAGATCAGATAGTTGTAGATATGCGGCATTATTTCTGAGGGCTCTATTTTGTTCCATTGGTCTATATCTCTGTTTTGGTACCAGCACCATGCTGTTTTGGTTACTGTAGCCTTGTAGTATAGTTTGAAGTCAGGTAGCATGATGCCTCCAGCTTTGTTCTTTTGGCTTAGGATTGACTTGGCGATGCGGGCTCTTTTTTGCTTCCACATGAACTTTAGTTTTTTCCAGTTCTGTGAAGAAAGTCATTGGTAGCTTGATGGGGATGGCATTAAATCTATAAATTACCTTGGGCAGTATGGCCATTTTCATGATATTGATTCTTCCTACCCATGAGCATGGAATGTTCTTCCATTTGTTTGTATCCTCTTTTATTTCCTTGAGCAGTGGTTTGTAGTTCTCCTTGAAGAAGTCCTTCACATCCCTTGTAAGTTGGATTCCTAGGTATTTTATTCTCTTTGAAGCAATTGTGAATGGGAGTTCACTCATGATTTGGCTCTCTGTTTGTCTGTTATTGGTGTATAAGAATGCTTGTGATTTTTGAACACTGATTTTGTATCCTGAGACTTTGCTGAAGTTGCTTATCAGCTTAAGGAGATTTTGGGCTGAGACGATGGGGTTTTCTAGATACACAATCATGTCATCTGCAAACAGGGACAATTTGACTTCCTCTTTTCCTAATTCAATGCCCTTTATTTCCTTCTCCTGCCTGATTGCCCTGGCCAGAACTTCCAACACTATGTTGAATAGGAGTGGTGAGAGAGCGCATCCCTGTCTTGTGCCAGTTTTCAAAGGGAATGCTTCCAGTTTTTGTTCATTCAGTATGATACTGGCTGTGGGTTTGTCATACATAGCTCTTATTATTTTGAGATACATCCCATCAATACCTAATTTATTGAGAGTTTTTAGCATGAAGGTTGTTGAATTTTGTCAAAGGCCTTTTCTGCATCTATTGAGATAATCATGTGGTTTTTATCTTTGGTTCTGTTTATATGCTGGATTATGTTTATTGATTTGCGTATGTTGAACCAGCCTTGCATCCCAGGGATGAAGCCCACTTGATCATGGTGGATAAGTTCTTTGATGTGCTGCTGGATTCAGTTTGCCAGTATTTTATTGAGGATTTTTGCATCAATGTTCATCAAGGATATTGGTCTAAAATTCTCTTTTTTTGTTGTGTCTCTGCCAGGCTTTGGTATCAGAATGATGCTGGCCTCATAAAACGAGTTAGGGAGGATTCCCTCTTTTTCTATTGATTGGAATAGTTTCAGAAGGAATGGTACCAGTTCCTCCTTGTACCTCTGGTAGAATTCGGCTGTGAATCCATCTGGTCCTGGACTTTTTTTGGTTGGTAAGCTATTAATTATTGCCTCAATTTCAGAGCCTGTTATTGGTCTATTCAGAGATTCAAATTCTACCTGGTTTAGTCTTGGGAGGGTGTATGTGTCCAGGAATTTATCCATTTCTTCTAGATTTTCTAGTTTATTTGTGTAGAGGTGTTTATAGTATTTTCTGATGGTAGTTTGTATTTCTGTGGGATCAGTGGTGATATCCCCTTTGCCATTTTTTATTGTGTCTATTTGATTCTTCTCTCTTTTCTTCTTTATTAGTCTTGCTAATGGTCTATCAATTTTGTTGATCTTTTCAAAAAACCAGCTTCTGGATTCATTGATTTTTTGAATGGTTTTTTGTGTCTCTATTTCCTTCAGTTCTGCTCTGATCTTAGTTATTTCTTGCCTTATGCTAGCTTTTGAATGTGTTTGCTCTTGCTTCTCTAGTTCTTTTAATTGTGATGTTAGGGTGTCAATTTTAGATCTTTCCTGCTTTCTCTTGTGGGCATTTAGTGCTATAAATTTCCCTCTACACACTGCTTTGAATGTGTCCCAGAGATTCTGGTATGTTGTTTCTTTGTTCTCGTTGGTTTCAAAGAACATCTTTATTTCTGCCTTCATTTTGTTATGTACCTAGTAGTCATTCAGGAGCAGGTTGTTCAGTTTCCACGTAGCTGAGCAGTTTTGAGTGAGTTTCTTAATCCTGAGTTCTAGTTTGATTGCACTGTGGTCTGAGAGATAGTTTGTTATAATTTCTGTTCTTTTACATTTGCTGAGGAGTGCTTTACTTCCAACTATGTGGTCTATTTTGGAATAGGTGTGGTGTGGTGCTGAGAAGAATGTATATTCTGTTGATTTGGGGTGGAGAGTTCTGTAGATGTCTATTAGGTCTGCTTGGTGCAGAGCTGAGTTCAATTCCTGGATATCCTTGTTAACTTTCTGTCTCGTTGATCTGTCTAATGTTGACAGTGGGGTGTTAAAGTCTCCCATGATTACTGTGTGGGGGTCTAAGTCATTTTGTAGGTCACTAAGGACTTGCTTTATGAATCTGGGTGCTCCTGTATTGGGTACATATATATTTAGGATAGTTAGTTCTTCTTGTTGAACTGATCCCTTTACCATTATGCAATGGCCTTCTTTGTCTCTTTTGATCTTTGTTGGTTTAAAGTCTGTTTTATCAAAGACTAGGATTGCAACCCCTGCCTTTTTTTGTTTTCCATTTGCTTGGTAGATCTTCCTCCATCCCTTTATTTTGAGCCTATGTGTGTCTCTGCATGTGAGATGGGTTTCCTGATACAGCATACTGATGGGTCTTGACTCTTTATCCAACTTGCCAGTCTGTGCCTTTTAATTGGAGCATTTAGCCCATTTACATTTAAGGTTAGGATTGTTATGTGTGAATTTCATCCTGTCATTATGATGTTAGCTGGTTATTTTGCTTATTAGTTGATGCAGTTTCTTCCTAGCCTTGATGGTCTTTACAATTTGGCATGTTTTTCCAGTGGCTGGTACCGGTTGTTCCTTTCCATGGTTAGTGCTTCCTTCAGGAGCTCTTGTAGAGCAGGCATGGTGGTGACAAAATCTCTCAGCATTTGCTTGTCTGTGAAGTATTTTATTTCTCCTTCACTTATGAAGCCTAGTTTGGCTGGATATGAAATTCTGGGTTGAAAATTCTTTTCTTTAAGAATGTTGAATATTGGCCCCCACTCTCTGCTGGCTCGTAGAGTTTCTGCTGAGACATCAGCAGTTAGTCTGATAGGCTTCCCTTTGTGGGTAACCCAACCTTTCTCTCTGGCTGCCCTGAACATTTTTTCCTTCATTTCAACTTTGGTGAATCTGACAATTACGTGTCTTGGAGTTGCTCTTCTTGAGGAGTATCTTTGTGGTGTTCTCTGTAATTCCTGAATTTGAATAGTGACCTGCCTTGCTAGATTGGGGAAGTTCTCCTGGATGATATCCTGCAGAGTGTTTTCCAACTTGATTCCATTCTCCCCGTCACTTTCAGGTACACCAATTAGATGTAGATTTGGTCTTTTCACATAGTCCCATATTTCTCGGAGGCTTTGCTCATTTCTTTTCTTTTTTCTCTAAACTTCTCTTCACACTTCATTTCACTCATTTCATCTTCCATCACTGATACCCTTTCTTCCAGTTGATCGCATCGGTTACTGAGGCTTGTGCATTCATCACGTAGTTCTCGTGCCATTGTTTTCAGCTCCATCAGGTCCTTTAAGGACTTCTCTGCATTGATTATTCTAGTTATCCATTCGTCTAATTTTTTTTCAAAGTTTTTAACTTCTTTGCCATTGGTTCAAACTTCCTCCTTTAGCTCGGACTAGTTTGATCTTCTGAAGCCTTCCTCTCTCAATTCGTCAAGTCATTCTCCATCCAGCTTTGTTCTGTTGCTGGTGAGGAGCTGCGTTCCTTTGGAGGAGGAGAGGCGCTCTGATTTTTAGAGTTTCCGGTTTTTCTGCTCTGGTTTTTCCCCATCTTTGTGGTTTTATCTACCTTTGGTCTTTGATGATGGTGACATACAGATGGGTTTTTGGTGTGGATGTCCTTTCTGTTTGTTAGTTTTCCTTCTAACAGTCAGGACCCTGAGCTGCAGGTCTGTTGGAGTTTACTGGAGGCCCACTCCAGACCCTGTTTGCCTGGGTATCAGCAGTGGTGGCTGCAGAACAGCAGATATTGGTGAACCGCAAATGCTGCTGCCTGATCGTTCCTCTAGAAGTTTTGTCTCAGAGGAGTTCCCGGCCGTGTGAGGTGTCAGTCCGCCCCTACTGGGGGATGCCTCCCAGTTAGGCTACTCGGGGGTCAGGGACCCACTTGAGGAGGCAGTCTGCCCGTTCTCAGATCTCAAGCTGCGTGCTGGAAGAACCACTACTCTCTTCAAAGCTATCAGACAGACTCTTCAAAGTCTGCAGAGGTTATTGCTGCCTTTTGTTTGTCTGTGCCCTGCCCCCAGAGGTGGAGCCTACAGAGGCAGGAAGGCCTCCTTGAGCTGTGGTGGGCCCCACCCAGTTCGAGCTTCCCAGCCACTTTGTTTACCTACTCAAGCCTGAGCAATGGCGGGCACCCCCCACCAAAGCCTCGCTGCCACCTTGCAGTTTGATCTCAGACTACTGTGCTGGCAATGAGAGAGGCTCCGTGGGCATAGGACCCTCCGATCTAGGTGTGGGATATAATCTCCTGGTGTGCCGTTTGATAAGCCCATTGGAAAAGCGTAGTATTAGGGTGGGAGTGATCCGATTTTCCAGGTGCCGTCTGTCACCCCTTTCTTTGACTAGGAAAGGGAATTCCCTGACCCCTTGCGCTTCCCGGGTGACACGATGCCTCGCCTTGCTTTGGCTCATGCACAGTGCACTGCACCCACTGTCCTGCACCCACTGTCTGGCACTCCCCAGTGAGATGAACCTGGTACCTCAGTTGGAAATGCAGAAATCACCCGTCTTCTGCATCACTCATGCTGGGAGCTGTAGACTGGAGCTGTTCCTATTCAGCCCTCTTGGCTCCATGTAGTAATTTTTTAAAATAGGGAGGGGGTGCAGGGTGCAAAGATGATTATTTTGGCTAGATTACCTATGAAACAGGTGTTGGGAAGATAGTGAGCTAATAAAACAGAATTTTTCACTGATACCTCACAGCTTAGAAGTAATCTGAGAATGAATTGAGTAGACAGCCCAGAGAAAAGTAAGAAAAACTTTTCATGAAGAAAAGCCTTATTACGTAAGAATCTGTACAGAGGAAGCAAGAATCAAGGCTGGCTATGTTTTACTACAATACTGAAACAAATAAAAGCCCAAAAGCAATATCCCCATGAAATTAGGATACGTATAGAGAGGCCAGATAGCATGAACCCTTAATGCTTGGCACCAAGCAAAATCCCACAGGCAGAAGACAGAACCTCTAGCAAAAGGAGCATACAGTCCCACAGAGGTCTTACCAAATTCCATTCCCATCCCATTGCCCTAGGGTTATATAGAAAGGTAGCAAGAGCAATGCCTTGCCAAGAAATGGCAGCTCAAAGAAGGCAAACAGGCCTGAAAATTAAATGTTTATTAGGCTGGGCATGGTGGCTAACACCTGTAATCCCAGCACTTTGGGAGGCCGAGGCAGGCACATCACCTGAGGTCAGGAGTTTGAGACCAGCCTGGTCAACATGGCGAAACCCCATCGCTACTGAAAGTACAAAAATTAGCCGGGGCTGGTGGCAGGTGCCTATAATCCCAGCAACTCTGGAGGCTGAGGCAGGAGAATAGCTTGAACCCAGGAGGCAGAGGTTGCAGTGAGCCAAGATCACACCACTGCACTCCAGCCTGGGCAACAACAGCAAGATATAAGACTCCTTCTCAAAAAAAAAAAAAAAAAAAAAAAAAGTTTATTAAGGAAATTCACTTGTACCATTCTGTTCTGCTAAAAGTTTTTGACAAAATTGCCTATTTCAAGTATGAGCAAGATGCAAAGAAATGATGTGACAACTATGAATACACCACAAATACAACACAAAACATGCAAAAGAAACTAGTTCATAATAAAACAAGAAAACATCAACCAACGTGCTATGATTTGAATGCTTGTCCTCTCCAAAACTCATGTTAAAATTTAACTGCCAGCTGGGCGTGGTGGCTTCGCTTCACACCTGTAATCCCAGCACTTTGGGAAGCCAAAGCGGGCGGATCATGAGGTCCAGAGATAGAGACCATCCTGGCTAATACAGCGAAACCCCGTCTCTACTAAAAATACAAAAAATAAGCCGGGCATGGTGGCAGGCGCCTGTAGCCCCAGCTACTTAGCAGGGTGAGGCAGGAGAATGGCATGAACCCGGGAGGTGGAGCTTGCAGTGTGCCGAGATTGCACCATTGCACTCCAGCCTGGGTGACAGAGTGAGACTCCTTCTCTAAAAAAAAAAAAAAAAAAAAAAAAAAAATTATTGCCATTGTAATATGTAATAGTATTAAGAAGTAAGACCTTTGAGAGGTGATTAGGCCACTAGGCTCCTCTCTTATGGATTGAATTAATGTCATTATAGAAGGGCAAGTTTAGCTCCCTCTTGCCTCTTTTTGCCCTTTTGCTTTCCACCATGTGATGACTTGGCAAGAAGGCCCTTGAAAGATGCCAGCACCTCGATCTTGGATTTCAAGCCTCCAGAACTGTGAGCCAATAAATTTCTGCTCATTATAAATTACCTAGTCCCAGATACTCTATTATTGCGGCAGCATGAATGAAATAAGACACAAGGGAAAGAAGAAAATTTTCCTACCCACGGTTGGCATTTTATAAAGAAAAAGAAAAGAAAATCATTTCAATAAAATAAAAGAGAAGGGGCTAACACAATAAAGTGAAAAGAGAAATATAAAACTTAAGGAAGTAAGTTGAGAATCAAAAATAAATAAATAACATTACATACATTAATTAGAAAGACCATGGAAAAGAACAATGACAATTGGTATTACCAACATAAAGGAAAGATTCACAATCATCACAGTCAATGCAAAAGCAGATTAAAATATTAATCATTATTGAACAGATAACACGTAAGGACAAAAATGTCCCATATAAGTATATCTGGAGTCTCTAAAGTAGAAAACCAAAACATTTGTAGACCTAAAATTTTCATGAGCCAGTTGTGATTGCTCACAGCTATAATCCCAGCACCTTGGGAGGCCAAGGGAGGATTGCTTGAAGCCAGGCGTTTGAGACCAGCCTGGGCAACATAGCAGGACCCTATCTCTACAAAAAAACCTCTTTAGAAAGTAAAATTTCCATGAAATAATAGTATGGAACCATAAAAAAGCACAAGATCATTTCCTTCACAGGAACATGGGTGGAGCTGGAGGCCATTATCCTTAGCAAACTAATGCCAGAACAGAAAACTAAATACCACATGTTATCACTCATAAGTGGGAGCTAACTTATGAGAACACATGGACACATACTGTGGAACAACAAACACTGGGGCCTACTGGAGCGTGGGGCATGGAAGGAGGTAGAGGATCAGGAAAAATAACTAATGGATACTAGGCTTAATACTGGGGTGATGAAATAATCTGTACAAAAAAACCCCACAACCCAAGTTTACTTATATAATAACCTGCAAATGTACCCCTGAACTTAAAATAAAAGTTAAGTTTTTTAAAAAAGGTAAAATTTCCATGAAATAAAGGAAGAATCAAATAATCCTTTGAAAAGCATGCTGTGGTCCCTAAAACCTTATTAAAGAATGATGAACAATTGCCCTGATTCAGCCCTACTTTAAGAATAAAGGATGACTCCTTCAGGTATCTGACAAAAAAAAGACAGACAAACACACACTCACAGCTGGGCACGGTGGCTCATGTCTGTAATCCCAGTACTTTGGGAGGCTGAGGCGGGTGGATCACTTGAAGTCAGGAGTTCCAGACCAGCCTGGCCAATGTGGTGAAACCCCATCTCTACTAAAAATACAGAAATTAGCCAGGTGTGGTGGCACTCACCTGTAGTCCCAGTTACTTGGGAGGCTGAGGTGGGAAAATAGCTCGGACCTGGGAGGCGGAGGTTGTGGTGAGCCGAGATCACGTCACTGTTCTCCAGCTTGGGCGACAGAGCCAGACTCTGTCTCAAAAAACAAACAAACAAACAAAACCCACACACACAAGGGGATGGGGAATCTGTCAAGACTTCTTTTCAGGCAAACAATGTCAGAAGACAAGCGAGTAACATTTTTACAATGTTTAGAATAAAAGGATATTTGACTCAAGAATTATATTCACAAAAAATTTGAATACAAGGATAACACACAGCCAATTTGAAGCATGTTAAATCAGAGAATAAGGTATTTATGAGCTCTTCCTTTGAAAGTGAAATTCATTCACCTGCTGTGATATTGTGAAATACATATTTGGTCATCATTCCACCCTTCCACCCCTTTCCTCACCTACAGGGAATCTCCAAAGTGATGTCTTTTTGTACGCTAATGATTAACTGATAGCTGGCAGCCCTTAGATACCTTCTGGATGGAGGCTGGTCATGAAGAGGGTTGCATGATTAAAACGTTGTGACTTTGAGCTTCAACCCCCAACCTCTGCAGAGGGACCTGGCAGTTAAGTTCATCACCAATGGCCAATGGTTTAATCAATCATGCCTATGTAATGAAGTCTCCATTAAAGGCCCAAAAGAACAGGATTCCTAGAGCATCCTAATAGCTGAACATGTGGAGGTTCCTGGAGGGTGGTGTACCCAAGGAGGGCACGGAAGCTCTGCACCTCTTCCCCCATACCTTGACCTCTGCATCTCTTCATCTGTATCCATTGTCATATCCTTTTTAATAAACGTAAGTAAGATTCCCTGAGTTCTGTGAGCTGCTCTAACAAATTAATCAAACCCAAAGAGGGGACTGTATGAACACTAACTTGAAGCTGGTCAGTTAGAAGTTTCAGAGGCCTGGACTTAACGATTTTTGTCTGAAGCAGGGCCAGTCTTGTGGGACTGAGCCCTCAACCTATGGGATCTGAGGCTTTTTCCAGGTAGATAGTGTCAGAATTTAATTGGAGGACACTCAGCTGGTGTCCACTGCAGAACTGATTACTTGCTTGGTGTGTGGAGGAAATAACTACACATTTGGCCAAAAAAGGCTTCTGTGTTGACTGTTGTGTTGAATAAGAGAAAAGAAGTGCACTGAGTTTGTGTTTCTGTTTCCACTGACACACCCAGGGATTCCTCACAATAAAAAATTCAGGGATAAAAATGCCATCTATGATAAAACTTCCAGCAATGATTATTCAATCCTTTTAAAGTTAAGATTAAACAACAGGGCACACTTTGGCTATAAAAACTAACGTGGCTATAGAAATGAATACAACTTTTACAGATTTTTTAATGTGAAATTCATAATGAAAAAAGCAGAGTTTTAAAGTGCTTCTTTCTTTCTTTCATATGAGAAAAGAACTTTTATCTGAGGAATGCAAGCCCTTTTAATTATCAGGCCCAGAAAGAATGAAAACGAGACTGCAATCATGTCCTACTTGCCACCCTCTGAGCTATGTATTCATCTTTTTTTTTTTCTTGAGACAGGATCTTGCTCTGTCACCCATGCTGGAGTGCATAGGTTCACTGCAGCCTCCATCTCTGAGGCTCAAGCGATCCTCCCACCTCAGCCTATAAAGTAGCTGGGACTACAGACATTTATCACCATGTCAGGCTACATCTTTTAAATAATTTTTTTTGTAGAAACAGGATCCCACTACGTTGCCCACAATGGTCTTGAACTCCTGGACTCAAGCAATCCTCCTACCTCAGTCTCTCAAAGTGTTGAGATTACAGGTGTGAGCTACCATGTCCGGCCTCTATTCATCTCTTCAAACTGCTTGCTATTGCCACAAGTAGCTATAAATTAACCTAATAATGCCATACCAGACACTATGACCCACACCCTATAGCTTAACAATGTATAGCCAATCACTAATTAATGTTATTTCTTGTAAAGTAATTACAGTTCCTGACAAACTTTGTATCAGCCCACTCCCTATCTCTCTTTTTTGCATTTAAAAATTCACTCCTGGCCAGGTGCCGTGCCTAAGACCTGTAATTCCAGCATTTTGGGGGGTCAAGGTGGGCAGATTGCTTGAGCTTAGGAGTTCAAGACCAGCCTGGGCAACACAGCAAGGCCCCATCTCTATTAAAAAACAAAACAACAACCAAAAAAAACCTCAAAAACTTAAAAAAAGAAAACAATTAATAAAAGTCCATTCTTAACTCCTGCTAATAGAAGTGTATTTCAGGGCAACGTGAATCTGAGCTCCCAGGCTGCAATCCTCAAGCTTGGCCCCAATAAACTCTCTACTTATATTAATTTTACTTCAACTTCTTCTTTTAAGGTCAATTCATACCTGAGAGTCACATGATCTTGTCAATTGAAACAATTTACGAGAAAATTCTGACCAGGCCTGGTGGCTCACACCTGTAATTCTAACACTTTGGGAGGCTGAGGCAGGCAGATTGCTTGAGTCCAGGAGTTCAAGAGCAGCCTGGGCAACATGGTGAAACCCTGGCTCTATTCAATTTTAAAAAATAAATATAGATTAAATAAAAGAAAAAGAAAAAAATTTGATGACTCCAACACCTTTTTTTTCAGTCTCATTTGTTAATATTAGAAGAGCTTTTAGAAAATTAATATAGCTTATTGAGAGAAAATATTGCATGAAGTTCAAAATTTTCTTCAGTTTCACTTCAATTGACTATTACTCTTAAATTCAAGTTAATACTTACATAGCACCCACTATGAGCCACATATTTTTCAATATTCAGTGATTTGGCTAGGTGCAATGGCTCATGCCTGTAATCTCAGTGCTTTGGAAGGCCAAGGTGAGAGGATCACATGAGGCCCAGAGTTTGACACCAGCCTGGGCCACACAGTGAGACCCCACCTCTACAAAAAACTTTAAAAATCAGCCAAGCATGGTGGCATGTGCCTGAAGTCCCTGTAGTCATAGCTCCTTGGGAGGCTGAGGTAGGAGGATCACTTGAGCCCAGTTCAAGTCTGCAATGAGCTCTGATTGCACCACTGCACTCCAGCCTGTGTGATATAGCAAGACTCTGTCTCTAAACAACCAACCAACCCATACATATATATATATTTTTAAATATATATAAAATATTTTACATATATACATATATAGTCAACAAGTAATTTACTCCTTATGACAACCTGTGTAAGTCCTCATAACCTGCTCTATTATATACATTTTGTAGACCAAAAAAACTGAGCCTTAAAGACTTTGGGTAATTTGTCCATCGCTATACAGCAAGGAAGCAGCAGAACCAATATTCAAAGATAGACTGGGTTCAGAATCTGTGCTCTTAGTCTCTACATTACACTGCTTTTCAAATATGACAACATATAGAGAATGAATTGATTTTTATCCAATTAATTTATGGCTACCTCCAATCAACCCCAAGCCATCTATCCTTCTAGGTAATGATGTTTAGGTATATAAGAGAAAATATTTGAAATAATATTTCCTTATAGATAAAGATGGTTATTTTGGAATAGGCATTGTGGAATTTAGATGATTTTTTTTGTTTCTTGATTTGTTTTTTTCAATGAGTTTAATGCTGTATAATGAGCCTATCAATCTTCAAAAAAAATGAAGCCATTAATCTAAACAAAAAACAAATATTACCTAATCACAACTTGGACACATATTATTAATTATTTATGGCTTTTTGTCTCCCCAGTGAACCATGTTTTAATTAGTACTTTACTCTGTTCCTCCACAGAGCCTAGGACAACACTGGACAAGGTAAACATGCCATAAGTATGCTGATTGATCATTAAATATTAGATTACTGGATTCTATCTATCTGTACAGGTAACATATTTCTAGATGTTCTAGGGCCTTTCTACCCAAAGCATATTCCTTAGACTAGCATCATGTGTAACATCTGGGAGCTTGTTATAAGGACAGAATCTCCAGTCCCAACCCAGGCCTAATGAACCAGAATCTGCACTCTGACAAGATCTCCCAAGTGGTCAGATTGTACATTAGAATTTGAAAAGTACATATTTCTAGGGCATTGTTTCTCTAAGTGTAGTCCATCATCTACCTATCAGAATCACCTGGGTTGCTTTAAAAAATGTAGATTCTTAGGCTCCACCCTATTCAAGTATCACTCACATTTAAAAAACAAAGCTAAAAAAACTGCAAGTAAAAAGCAGTAAAGAACAGGAACAGGGATATTAAGCAGAGAGCAGTGAAAGACTCAGATAGCTGAAATGAATTTTAAAAGTGATAATGAGGAGAAGAGGAGATAATAAAAAGAGGAGTCACATATGAAGAAACAACAAAACTATGAAGAAATAAAGAAAGTAATTGTATTGAGAGTGATGTGCATTTCTTTCTTTCTTTTTTTAAACTGACTGCTATTCCTGACAGGCAAACTAGCATGCCAAAGGTTTTAGAAAAAGACTGGAGAGGCCGGGCGCGGTGGCTCATGCCTCTAATCTCAGCACTGAGGGAGGCTAAGGTGGGCAGATCACAAGGTCAGGAGTTCGAGACCATCCTGGCTAATGTGGTGAAACCCCATCTCTACTAAAAGTAAAAAAAAATTAGCTAGGCTTGGTGGCAGGCGCCTGTAGTCCCAGCTACTTGGGAGGCTGCGGCAGGGGAATCACTTGAACCCGGGAGGCGGAGGTTGCAGTGAGCTGAGATTGCGCCACTGCACTCCAGCCTGGGCAACAGGGCAAGACTCCGTCTCAAAAAAAAAAAAAGAAAAGAAAAAAAGAAAAAGACTGGAGACATGCAATTTCCTAGTGTAACACATAAGCATAAGTCACATTTTTAAATATGTAACTACCACCTAAAGCATGCCTTTTATAAGTGTTCCTAATATCATACTGAGTTTTAAATGTGTACATACACTTTTAGAGACATTTCCATATGCTTGGCTCGTGCAATTGCTTCATCTCTCTCCTCAATGGCTAATTGCAGTCTAGACATAACAGCTTCATCACGTTCCTTCTGCGCAAAATACACTTCTTCAACCAGAGCTACCAAAATATATAAAGCGCACAATCAATCATACAAAATAAAGGACAAATGTATACCTTTAGCAAAAATAAAAGCCATAAGTAATTATTACTGTAAGGACTACTCAATAAACTGAATTAATATCAATCAATCAATTCATAAAATATTATTTTTAATAATAGGTACTGCAAAACTGGGATACCACTTCATACCCCTAAAAAATTTAAAGCAAAAATTTAAAGGTCTGATAATAGCAAATGTTGTAAGCCTGTGAAATAAAGAAAACTCTCACACATATTGCAGATAGGCAGATATATTTCTACAACCATCTGAAGAGCAATTTGGCAATGTTTATTGAAGTTGAAGACAGGCCTAGGCTAGCAAATCCCCTCTTTGGTATATAGCCTAGAGAAATTCATGCACATATGTAAATGTAAACATGTATAAAAATACTTACTGTAGCATTGCTTATAATAGCAAAAGCTTAGGCATAACCCAAATGTCCATCAACATTAACAGGAATAAATAAATTACATTCAGAATGGAATACTACCCAGCATTTAAAATGACTTGACTATGGACAAATGGACAAATCTCAAAAACAAAATGCTGACAAAAATAGCAAGTTTCAAAGTAAAGCAACTCTACCAACTATTTATGAATAGACACAATTAGTAAAAACAATACAATGAGCAGGCCAGGCACAATGGCTCACGCCTGTAATCCCAGCACTTTGGGAGGCCGAGGCAGGTGGATCACCAGGTCAGGAGATCGAGACCATCCCGGCTAACATGGTGAAACCCCGTCTCTACTAAAAATACAAAAAATTAGCCAGGCATGGTGGTGGGCACCTGTAATCCCAGCTACTCAGGAGGCTGAGGCAGGAGAATGGCATTAACTCAGGAGGCGGAGGTTGCAATGAACAAAGATTGTACCACTGCACTCCAGCCTGGGCAACAGTGTGAGACTCAGTCTCAAAAATATAAATACATAAATAAAAATAATAATAATACAATGATCATGGAAAGTATAAACACAAAATTCAAAATAGTAATCATCTCAGTGGGAAGGTGGAAGGGGAGAAAAGAAAATGGGTAAGGGAAGAATAAAATAGGACAATGCTGTGCTGTTATAGTAGTGCACATCTGCACAGAGCAGGGGGCACTGTTGATATAGATTTTAATACAAATGGCATCATCTAGATTTTTGCAGCACTATATCAGGAGGTTTAATGTTATCTAAAATTATCATTTCTTAGGCATAATTTTATTGTTTGTATGTTTGAAATCTTACATAATTTTTAAAACATTACTGCAATGTGGGCTGGGCATGGTGGCTCACACCTGTAATCCCAGCACTTTGGGAGGCCAAAGTGCTACAGAATATCCGTCCAGTAAGGGCAATAATAACAGCTTGGAGAAACCAACATGGTGTATCTTGCATAGTATGGAAAACAGTATGGTGTATGGAAGAATATGAGTTTTAACTGTGATTTAAGGTACTAAAGGTTAGCAAGCTTGTTTGTGTTAATTTCTTAAATTATTTTAGTTGAAGTTCAGGTATATAAAATGGGTAAAATACCACTATTCATGATGTTATGAAAAATTAAATTAGAAAATATATGAAAGCTCTTGGCCGAATAAATAAAATACAGTGGATCATCAACAAATGTTAGTTCCATTCTACCACTACAGTAACCATACTCAAACCACAGACGCACAATGTGACTTAACTCCTAGACATATTAATAATGTGGTTTTGATTAATTTGTACTGCTTACATATTAAAAATCTAAGTCAAAATTCCTCAATTTTTAGCCTTTTTCATTGGCAGGCAAAAATTATGTAAGAGACTGAAAGAGAAATTATTCAGAATCCATTCTATATTGTATGCTGCATACCACAATTATATTAATAATAGTTTATCAAAAATATTGGCTGGGTGCAGTGGCTCTTTCAAAACAGCATGAGGCGCCAGGCGTGGTGGCTCACACCTGTAATCCTAGCACTTTGGGAGGCCGAGGCAGGTGGATCACCTGAGGTGAGGAGTTTGAGACCAGCTTGGCCAACATGGCAAAACCCCATCTCTACTAAAAATACAAAAAATTAGCTGGATGTGGTGGCGGGCACCCGTGATCTCAGCTACTGAGGAGGCTGAGGCAGGAGAATCGCTTGAACCCGGGAGGTGGAGGTTGCAGTGAGTAGAGATTTCGCTATTGCACTCCAACCTGGACAACAGAATGAGACTCTCAAAACAAACAAACAAACAAACAAACAAACAGCAACATCAAAAACAAAAAAACAGCATGAGGAATTGATACAGTAGTCCCGTTTTATCTGTAGTTCCTTTTTCCATGGTTTCAGTTATTCATAGTCTGAAAACATTGTGAAACACTTCAGAAATAAACAGTTCATAAGTTTTAAATTACATATTGTTTTGAGTAGTGTAATGAAATTTTATGCCATCTAGCCCAGGGTGTGAACTGACTGGCTAATTAGATCCATGCTGAATACTCTACCACCACTTTTCCACTACTCACAATTAAGAAATAAATCATAACTACCTTCTTTTTTTTTTTTTTTTTTTTTTTGAGACAGGGTCTTGCTCTGTCATCCACGCTGAGTGCAGTGGCACAATTACACCTTACTGCAGCCTCTACCTCCCAGGCTCCAGCGGGGTTTCACCAAGTTGGCCAGGCTGGTCTCAAATTTCTGGGCTCAAGTGATTCTCCCACCTTGGCCTACCAAATTTTTATTTTTTTGTAGAGACAAGGTCTCACTGTGTTGGCCAGGCTGGTCTCGTACTCCTGGGCTCAAGTGATTCTCCCACCTTGGCCTACCAAAATGCTGGGATTATAGGTGTGAGCTACCATGCTGGGCCTAATAACTATCTTGATTAACTGTATATTAATCTGCAACAATCCTTGGGCAGGGATCCAATGTGGTGGTGCATGCCTGCAATCCTAGCTACACAGGTGGCTGAGGCAGGAGATCGCTTGAACCAAGGAGGTGGAGGTTGCAGTGAGCCGATATCACGCCATTGCACGAGAGCGAAACTCCATCTTAAATAATAATAATAATAATAATAATAATAATAATATTACTGCAATATTAGACAAAGAGGGCCTCAAATACCTGAATCGCTGAACCAAATTTTATTTATACTGTCAAACTACAAAATAAACTTCAGAAAAATTTTGAAATGCTCTTTTAGTTTTAAGTGTTATATACAGAGGGCTTCTTTGGTCCTGTGTGATCAAGAGAAAACACTTTTTTTTTAATGCTACTTCAAATCCAAAGATGTATATGTGCATTTAAAGGACATTACCATTTATGTATTCTAAGGTTAAAATTTAAATGCCAGAAAACACACATGCACAAACACATAAAATCTGGTTATAGAATTTATAAATGATAAGAATGTTTTTCAAATTAAGGTATTACTCTAAAGATTCAATGCAATCCCTATCAAAATTCTACTGTAATTCTTCACAGAAATAGGAACAGAAATAGAAATAGAAAAAACAATCTAAAATTCATATGGAATCACAAAAGACCCCAAACAGCCAAAGCAATTTTAAGCAACTACCATTTAAAATATATCACAAAGCCAGAGTAATCAAAACAGCATGATGGCTAGGTGCAGTGGCTCATGCCTGTAATCCCAGCCCTTTGGGAGGCCAAGGCGGGTGGATCACCTGAGGTCAAGAGTTCGAGACCAGCCTGGACAACATGGCAAAACCCCATATCTACCAAAAATACAAAAATTAGCTGGGCATAGTGGTGCGTGCCAGTAATCCCAGCTACTCAGGAGGCTGAGGCAGGAAAATCACTTGAACCTGGGAGGCGGAGGTTGCAGTAAGCTGAGATCGTGCCACTGTATTCCAGCCTGGGCGACAGAGCAAGACTCTTCTCAAAAAAACCAAACCAAACAAAACAACAAAAAAACAGCATGGTATTGTCATAAAAAGACACACTGACCAATGGAACAGGATAGAGCAGCCAGAAATAAATCCACACAATTATGGTCAACTGATTTTCAACAAAGTGCCAAGAACACACAATGGAGAAAGTACAATCTCTTCAATAAATGGTGCTGGGAAAATTAGATATCCACATGCAGAATAAAAATAGGCATCATCTCATCCCTTATTCAAGAATCAGTTTAAAATGCACTAAAGACTAAAACATAAAACTGGAAATTATAAAACTACTAGAAGATAACACAGGGGGAAAGTTCCATGACATTGGTTTAGACACAGACTTCTTGAATATGACCCCAAACGCACAGGCAGTGAAAGTAAAAAAAGACTAATAGGATTGCATCAAATTAAAAAGCGTCTGCACAGTTAAGAAAACAATAATGAGACAACCTACAGTGTAGGAGAAAATATCTGCAAATGACACATTAATGAAAAGAATAATACCAAAAATATACAAGGAACTCGAACTATTCAATAACAATTAGCCTGACCAACATGATGAAACCCTGTCTCTACTAAAAATACAAAAATTAGCCAGTCCTGGTGGCATGCGTCTGTAATCCCAGCTATTTGGGAGGCTGAGGCATGAGAATCACTTGAACCCAGGAGGTGGAGGTTGCAGTGAGCCAAGATCGTGCCACTGCACTCCAGCCTGGGCGACAGAGTGAGGCTCAGTCTCAAAACTAAATAAAATAAAATAAATAAAAATGGGCAAAGAACCTAACAAATATTTCTCAAAAAAAGACACACAAATGGTTAACAGTTATATAAAGAAAGCTTAACATCTCTAATCACCAAAGAAAGGCAAACTAAAATCACAATGAGCTATCATCTCACCCGTTAGATTGGCTATTATCAAAAACACGAAAGATAACAAGTGTTGGTGTGGATGTGGAGAAAAGCAAACCATTACACAATGTTGGTGGTATTGTAAATTACTACAGCCATTTTGGAAAACGGTATGAGGTTCCACAAAAAACTAAAAGTAGAGTTACCATGTGATCCAGCAGTTCCACTTCCAGGTATGTATCCAAAGGAGTCGAAAGAAGTATGTTAAAGAGATGCCTACACTCCCATGTTCACTGCAGCATTACTCACAATAGCCAAGATATGGAAACAACTGAAGTGCCAAACAATAGATAAATGAGTTTTTTTAATGTGGTACAATGGAATACAATACAGCCTTTAAAAGCTAGGATTCAGGTTTTTCAGCTGGAAAAGCTGAAAAAAAGAAGGGATATTCTGTCATTTGCAACAACGTGGATAAACCTAGAGGACACTATGCTAGGCGAAATAAGCCAAGCACAGAGAGACAAATACCTCATGATCTCACATATGTGGAATCTAAAAAAGTGGAACTCACATAAGTAAAGAGTAGAACAATAGCTACCAGAGGCTGGGGATGAGGGTGGAGGAGGAAAGAAGAGATATTGGTCAAAAAATACAATTTTCAGTTAGACAGGAGGAATAGGTTCTGGTGATCTATTACACATCAAGGTGACTTATAATGAAGAGTAATGTATATTTCAAAAAGCTAAAATAATGCATTTTAAATGTCCTTATCACCAAGAAACAGTAAGTATTTGAGGTGGTGAATACGTTAATCAGACTGATTTGATCATTTCACAATGTATGTACATGTACTGAAACATCACATTGCACTTCATAAATTTGCAAATCATACATCAATTAAGGGAATAATATATACGATTATTATTTGTCAATTAAAAATAAAACAAAAAAACCCTCAAAACCAAAATTAAGGTATTTACTGCATGATAATTTTTAACATCTATTAGGTTAGATGTGAAATTTGTTGGTTATAAAAAATCCTGATTCTGGAATTCAGTACTTTTGAAGGATCAATATGCAACTCTCAAACATTTTTAGTAAAGAAAACTTAATTGTAAACACTGAGCTTTTCCAAGGTAGATGACTATAACAAAGTTCACTAGAAAATCAATATAGCATTTTAGTTGGAATTTGCTCATTAAACACCCACAGCTCTAATGCAAATTATGATGGAATGAATAAAGCAAATACGCATGCTTCTTTCTTTTTATTAAATGTAAAATCTACTGTTAATTGCATCTCGTATGTCATACAAACTTTTCTCCTTAACTGTTAAATAGAAGCTTTAACAAAAGTCATTAGAGATTCTCTTTCTTTGACTTGAATAAATTTCAATATTTGTTCAGTAAAGGTTCACAGCAGTTAAATTACATTAACAAATATTATTAGCTACTATGTAAGCCAACCAAGTAAAATACTTATATTGTAGGTAAAACAAATCATTGGGTGTTTACAATAATATTTGGATATCTCCATTTTTAAACACGGTTATCAAATATCCTATAATTCTTAGTCAAATGAGAAAGATTCAGAGAGGATCACCCGTACCCCCCTCAACCAAATACTCAAATTTGTTTAGTAAGCTAATTGTTTTCTAATATGGGCAAGAGTAAATATGAAGAAGCTGAACCACACTAAGTATGAGTTTATTGAGTCAAGGCAGAGTACATATTTTCTTAGTAGACCCAAGTCTATTGGCAAATCCATATTCCACACTTTTCAAACTACTTTTAAAATACAGTACGAGTGAGACAGTACCTTGGATAACATTCTAGTTTAAACACTGGCTCATGATTCTCTAAATAACATAATTGGGAGGATAGACATTTCACAGGAAAAAGAATCCATCTGTTAACATCTTATGGTAGTTATGTAAATATAAAAGGCTAAATTAAAAAGAAGGAAAAAGAAATCATTAGGATTTTAAACATATTAAATAACTGGATAATAATTCATGTTGGAAAATTCTAAGCAATATAATATACACAATAATTTTGTAAAAGACCAGACTTTACTACATATGAAAGAATCTCAAATTCTATGAATATCTACCATTAGTTTTACATGAGAAATAACCATCTGGAGAAGACTTATAATGATGTTAAATTCATTTCTTGCAAATATGAGAACAATTAACATTTATAAAACCACCACATATATATTCTAGAACTACAAACATTATATATTTTAATTTCCTTAATAATTGTAATTTTTCCTTCTTTGCATAAACTGGCTATTGGAAATTTTAAAATAGATGGTAGATGCCCCACACCAGTAGAAAATTAACCAAAACCGACTCAAATTAGTTCGATGTTTCTGTTTTTGGCATAACAATGCTGAATTCAACTTATTACTCCAGAACTTCTTTCATAGACCAGACTATTTGTTTTTTTAAAACTGGACTTTGCAACATTTTATACAATTACTTTGTAAATAACTTTTTCTGATTAAACAGTAGTACAAACTCATAAAAATTTAAAGGAGAAAAATATTTAGTATAGCTTTGTAACCCTGTAATTAAAATAAGCAGCATATGTTCCTATATTCTTCAGTATTCTTAAAAAATATAAAATAGCAGGTGAAATTTTATCATTTGGACATGCTATATGTGATTCAACTAAGATGCTCCTAATATTAGATTGTACACCATTTCCAACTATTGGCTATATAAACAACACTGTAATGGATATCTTTGTATACACATCTTTATGTATATACACACCTAATTACTTAAGAAAATTACTAGAAGTATGATGGCTAGATTAAAAGTCAGCTTTTAAAGCTCTTAATATATATTGTCAAATTTTCCCCTGTAAAGTTGCTGTAAATTTATACACTCAGCATCAGTACAGGAAGTGTTCAAAATTAATTTGAAAATTATGCAAAATAGTATGTTTCAGTAGCAAGACAATGAATCAAAAGCATTTTTTAAAAAACCCTCGATTACTATACACATGTATTTACTACAGAAAACTCAAAGACTATATTAAAAAAGTTTTCTGAAAATATGCTCTATGCTTACATTCAAAGATTTAATATATGTGATATTGGAGCTACCTTTTCCAATGTGAAAGAGAAAAGTTTATCCCTGAAGCATTAAAATCAGTACTGATAATTGTATGTCTTTTGAAATATAACTTAAAAAATTTTTATTTACTAAACAGACTATCAGCCTTAAATTTGATACCAATATGAAAATTCTTTGAAATATAACTGCTATCTAAACATTTTCTAATCTCATTTCCTCTTTAGAATCATTAGACGTGTGAAAAAGTCTTTAGATAACTTTCTGAAAAGTTTTATTTTTGTTATTTTTATGTTTTAAATACCTTAATTACATATATTTTCAAAGGCTTGACATTATGCTAAAGTCCATTGTATGTTAAACCCAATAAAATATTTCCAGCTGTTGGCTATTCTTATGTATAATGGATCCTCCATCTACTCCAATTTTATTGCTTTTCCAGAAAAAAACCAAACTTTTCTAGGAAGCAAGGATACAAATTGGTTATATTCTTTCCTCAAGTATTATTTGACCTGGCACTCGTCAGAATTCATTCTGATTCATATCCATAGAATTCTGTAGCCAAAGACAGTAATATAATCAATAGTCTATCAATATTTCTACCTGCTGTGTTTCACAGACATGGGCCTTCATGTTCTTATCTGAAATTAGTGTTCATATTCTTGAAATCCTTTTTCTTTTCAAATTAAAAAAATACAAATATAAATTTAATGTAGCATTATAATTTAATACTATTAAGGCATTCAAGTATTAGGTTAAAGGCTATCACATTTTATTGATGCCCATTATATACACAGAAAAATTAGATTCCAATATGTACTATTTCTTAAAGATAAAAGTTATGCCATTTTCTGTTCTGGTAAAGAAAATTAACTCTTGTTCCTCTTAATTAGATGGTCAACATCATCTGAGATATGATACATAGTAACAGATAATCTTTTTACAAGAGAATAATGTAAACATTTTCTATAATATAATTTTTTCCCATTTTAATCCACTGGGGTGTCTTGATATACTTGCTATAATGGTAGATTACAAATCTATATTTTTACCCTTTACATTTTAACCTGAATAGAAAAACTTAAGTTGTAAGTTTCAGGGATTCTGTGACTGATCCTTTGAACAATCACAATTAAACTCCTCTTCTCTCTACCAAAAGAAAATAAACATTCTCTGTAATAAAAAATATATTGACAACATATTTTTTTAATTTACAAAATATCAGTCTAAATTTGCATGCAGAGAAAGAAATCTATGTTTAAAGAGAAAAATCAAATGCTTGCATCATCAGTACAAGTAAGCTAAGCAAATTATGTAACCATTGAATTACATGTTAAAATGCAGTAAGATAGATTAGATAATAGAGAGAGAGAAAGGGAGAGACTTAAAAACACAAGACTTAGGAACTAAGGAGTTCTTTTGGCTAAAACCTAATATTGGCTTTATTTCAGTTTAATTGGAAGAGGATCTCAAATTCATCTTCTCCATGAGATATCAGGAACCTGGATTTCTCTTTGTACCAAAGGTTAATAAGAAATGTGTCTGCAAAAGTCAAACAGCATTAAATACCAAAAACTGATTATTATTCTACAGGAGTTGTTCTGTCATTCATAATCTCTCCATGCTCCAACCTTCCACAGCTAATCTTTAATGGATGACATGCAAGAAAGAAAAATAACTAACATATAAAGCAGAGGCTCTAAAGTGAGCTTTTAAGAAATAGAAAAATAAGGCTTTTAAAGAAATACAAATATTTTAAATATCACAAAATAACATATAAAACACTATTTAAATACTTTTACGTAAAATTCAAGCATCATCTGCATACTATAAAAGCAATAGAATAGAATTTAATAGAATAACAAAAATTAAAGAAACAAAAACACTAGATAATGCCCACTGTGACTGTTTAGGAAAAATGAAAGGTTTAATTGAACAAGCTATTTTTAAAAGGCATAAAAACACATCATCACTGATATAAGAGCAAATTAATGGATGCAAATCAGGCCATAGCATACTATGTCTCATTGTTAAACTCAATTTAACTAAAATAAATTTTAAAATGCTTGTGTTTTAATGACTTTTTTTAGGTGAGAAGAGATACATACTCAAAGAACAAAAATGCAATGTTTCTCCTCTGCTTCTCTAAAACATCCCCTAGTATTTGAAGGTCATTCATACAATTTTCAAATAATATTACCCACATGTATAATTTAATGAGCTAAAACTCAGTAAAAAGTCTTAAACAGCTACAGTGAAGTAAATCATTAACACATAAGGAGTGAGATGGTCATTTCAGCTTTCCTAAGACTAAATAAGAATTATTTATTACACATTTTAACTTTTTTTTAGAGATTTTAAATTTTAAAAAAATATTTGCACACTTTTGAAATAAGGTTAATTCTAAAAATCTAGGAAAACTCAAAACTGAGGATCAAATTAAATAATAAATAAAAATTCTTTGTAAACTATTTTAACAAAAGAAATAAACAATCAATTCCTTGTGAAACAAAACCATATATAAATAGCTATCCCATACTTATCTATATAATTAGTATGGGATAGTAATTTACATAACCACACAATTAGGAACACTTTGAGTATGTCCTCTATTAGATGAAGAAGTCTTGAGAAAACAAGATGGTTACATCATCATCTTATCATCATAATTATTATTTATTGAGTGCCTTCTATGGGTTAAGCACTTCGTAAACATTATCTCACTTAAGCATCACAACAACCTATAGTAGATTTTTAACTAATGCTTAGTGAGGCTGTCATTACACATGATAAGTGTCAAAAAGATTAGAACAAAGGTCTGAATCCCAAGTCTGCGCATTTAACCACTACTTACAACATGTATGGTGTATTATGATTGAGAAGTAATACCAGGCAAAAAAATGCCTGAGATCCCAAATCTGTCTTATATGCTGATCTATATTCAGTGTCTAACACAGTGCCTAGAACATAATGAGTCCACAATAAATATTTGTTTGATTTGTAAAGAAGTAAGCATAGTTCCTCTGAAACATTTAAGTGCTTAATAAACAGTATCAATGATGGTGACAATGACAGTAATGATGGTGATGTGAGAAAGGAAAAGAAAGGTAGTCAACCATCAGAGATTTTAACATGATAGGGGACAGAGCTGAGTTTCAAACTATCATAAAATCACATTAGAATAACAGATTTGTGTTATGAAAAAACCAGTGGGGAAACAAAGGAAAAAGACTTGAAGCTAAGGAACAGTCTACATGAAAGTTTATCATAGGTACATATTGCAGAAAAGCTGAAATCTTTTGCATCTCATTTCTTTTATTTTGAATTCACATTTGAGTAAAATGTATTAGTGATATTAAATATCTATATCTCAACTGTGATTTTATTAATAATCCAATACTTTGTTTCTTCTTTTGCTTGTCCATTTTTCAGTTTAGTGCCCTTTCAAAATCTATTAACAGTAACCCATTAATTTTTAATTAAAAGCCAAACAATAAAATGTCTTTTCATAACTGCTGGAAATGATGACATCAAAGATTTAAGAATTTCATAAACGTAAAAGCAATAAAATAATATTAATTTGAGACACAACTTACTGAGTACTAGTTATATACCATGTCCTTACATATATTAACACTAATCCTTAAAATAATCTGGTAAGTTGGTTAATATTCACATTTTACATCGGAGAAGATAAACCCAAAGAGGCTAAAAAACGTGCCCAACGGTAGAGAATCAATATCAAGTATCCAAGCTGTAATTTGAACCTGGATCAATGTGACTCTAAGGATTTTGGTCTTCCCAATTGCTCCAAACTGCCTACAGAGAACTGGACATCTTTTGTTTTATGTGGTCTTGACTGTACCAGATTCTTCTAAATTATACAATCACCTTGGAAGACAAGATGGACTAATATATATATAGATACATAATAAACATAAATATATAAAAATAAATACAAGGAAAAGCTGAAAGACTAAAAAAAGGGTGTGGGTAAAAAATGGCAAAACTGGATCACAGCCATCATATGGTTTTCATAAAACCATAGAGTCTTTATGTCTCAAATTTTAAGATTAGAGTGCAAGTAATTTCTAAAAAAAAAATCACATCTTTTGAAAGCAATGTTTTTTTTTAACACTAAATCTATGCTCATTATAGAAAATCTGAAAAAGGCAGAAACTGTTCACTGAAAAATCAATAGTTTCACTTAAAGACCACCAACATTTGCCTCTTATTTTATATAATATACATGTATGTATATTTTTATTTTTATAAAATCATACTATAGTTTTTCCCCTATTTCACTTAATAGTTATGAAGTTTTTCTCATATCCTCAAATATTCTTAATTATTACAAAATGTCTCAAATTATAAATGTATCATAACTTATTTAATAATTCCCTTATGGTTAGACTGTTTTTAATTTTCTTGCTATTGCAACTAATATTATATGAATATCTTTAAATATAAATCTCTATATTTTACATACTCTAAGAAAATGCCTACTATTTCCTTAGGGTACCTCATATTTTAATTAACATTTTATTTTTAAAATCTATAGACAGATTGTCTCCTATTTGCTGTTTCCAATGTTTAGTTCAGATGTTTTTATAAGTATTTCTTTTATTGTGAAATGGTTTGATCTTTTTAAACATATATATTCTGCTTAACTACGTTATAATACTTATGTATGTGTGCGTGCTTATAACATATTTTGCCAAATACACTTTTTATTTCAAATATAAAAATGAGCAGTCATAGAAACAAACATCCATGCATATGTGGATTATTTGTTCTTTCACATTACAAGAAATA
Organism: Homo sapiens; assembly: GCF_000001405.40. Classification (NCBI taxonomy): domain Eukaryota; kingdom Metazoa; phylum Chordata; class Mammalia; order Primates; family Hominidae; genus Homo; species Homo sapiens. The sequence continues at coordinate 37,272,663 of NC_000014.9, read as the reverse complement.
AAGAATTCATTAGATGTCATCATAGTCCTATACTGCTCTTTTTTCTATTAAGATACTGACAAGGTAGTTTTTGTTGTTCTGTTTTGCTTTTTGACTGTACCTCCTATTCATCAGATAGAAAATAAGTTTATTTAAGACAAGTTTATTAAGACCATACATAAAATGGGAAAATATGAAAAGGTTCAAAAGTCCACCAAAGAAAGGGTCAGTTACCAAATTTTTTGTTGTTTTAAACCAATGAATTTCTTCAGCAATTCATATTATTTTGACATAATAACAATAATTCTTTCTAATGTTATAGGAAAAATACTTTAAGTCTCTTCTTAAAATGAGATAGAAGTAAAATATTAAAGAGGAAAGATATACTTTGAAAATTTATCCCTTAAAACAACTTTGGGAATTTTCATTTTGTGTCATTTTTATAAGCAAATGGTTGGACATATCTCTTTTAACTAGATTGTTTTGTTCCAGAGAAACTAAATAACACTGTTATTTTCATCAATTTAGAATGCTATAAATATTTTATTAAACATCTTTTAAATAATTGACATTTATTAATATAATATTTTGTTATTAATGAGAAATATAACAAAGTAATCAAATTATTTCCATGTTATGAATGCCTGATTCAAACTGTTCAAATGGGAACACTTAAATATATACCAATAAATAAATATGTAAAGTATCTGCTTAGCTACATTATAAAAAAAATTAAAGAGTAAATATTATTGCTTAATTAGGTTTCCCCTCCAAGAGATAAATGGGCTGGGCAGACACATTAATTCATGATTATCAATAGGTTATGAAAACCCTAATCTTATTAAATTATTTCTGTAAGACATATGCAAAGTTAACATTATGCAAATGCATCAAAATTCTTGTAAGAGTATCCAAAACAAATTTCTTCTAATAGTATCCTAAAAATTAGTATATTTATACATGATTATAAAAAGCCAAGAAATTGCCAAATTGTTCAAAATTTATATTTGAAATGCTTATTTTTAACAAACTATTAATTTTCCTTAAAATATGTTACTTTCATATTTTCCCACACACAAAAATAAAAACATTACGGTAGTTTAACATTAACAGAAAAGCAACTATCTAGTATTCAGCTGGTGTATTTATTTATGGTCATCTTTGTTATATTTTCATAGCAATGTTTAGTTCTATTTTCCACAATCATATTTTAAAGCAAGCTCTCCTAGTTAATCATATTTCTGACCTAAAATAATTCTTTCACCTATGTAATCCCATTAAGTGACTTGTAAAGCATGATTATGACCTCAGACTAATCACAAAATTCAATTGCTTCTTAAAAGCATTCCAAATGATATAAAAATGTTAAAAATCAGTGATATCTAAAATGGCTCTGAATGCTAATGTCTATTACTCCATGAAATTTCTCTTTCCTTAACATACTAAAACAATGTGAGAGATACATTCACAGTGGCATACACAGATGGAGATCATAGACTATTGTGAATCATTTCATTGTATCTATAACATATCAAAAATACATTTAAAAATTTCTGCTTGCAAAGACCTGTGAGTAAACATAGACTCCAGAATATATTTAAGGTAATCATTCATAATCTGAAAGTTTGGCAACCTTTCACTTTAATCTCAGGGAAAATATTACCTCTATTAGCGTCTACGTCATCAGATGAAAACTTATTAATTGCACAAAACAGATTTTTTAATCAAATGTAGGTTTCCATTGGCAATGAATATGTGACTATCTTCATACAAAGGAGAAGTATTTCCTCTCAACGAGCTAAAACAATAAGTGGTATTTGAACTGCTGGTTGAAAGGTAGAGGCACTGGTAATCATTATTTCCCCTTGTTTGTTCAGCCCCTTCCAACAAAACAAACAACCTTTTTGTGATTGGATTGACATGGTGTTAACAATGCATTTAATGCCCAAATCAGTATGAATACAGGTAAAGCTCTCACTAATACCAGTACCAGGATGTTAAAGCCACCTATTTTCTAAGCAGCCAAAAAAAAAAAAAAAAAAAGGAGAGCTTCCCCTCCTTTGGCAAATAAGCCAGTATGCTAGTATTCACCAAGATACATCATATAATAACCTTGTGTGTGATTCTTCAAGCCATGTGTTAATACTCCTCTACTATACCTGCTGTCTTTTCAGCAATTTTAGCTTCTGTTTCTTTCTCTTGGAGTTCCAGCTTAAACTTTAGTTTTCTCTGTTCTTTATCTTCTTTAGCCAATTTCTGCTGAAGCTAAAGCACATTGAAAAAAATCATGGATTCTTATTTGACAAATGTCTTGCAAAAATATAATTAATTTCAAAGTTTTTGGTTTTTTCTTAATTCTTATATTATATTTAACTTCCTAGATAGATAACTCCAGAAAAAAATTTAAAATTTAAGTTATTTATAAAGTAATAATTACCTGTAGTTATACAGAAATTGTAAAAACATCCCAATATACACTTAATTTATGTGTATATGTGCATGAACAGGCAAATTAAATTCAGAGGACCAACATTATTCTTAAAAATAACTACTGCAGTTCAGATGTGGTTGCTCACGCCTGTAATCCCAGCCCTTTGGGAGGCCGAGGTGGGCAGATCACCTGAGGTCAGGAGTTTGAGACCAGCCTGGCCAACATGATGAAACCCCGTCTCTACTAAAAATACAAAAAATTAGCTAGGTGTGGTGGCGGGCACCTGTAATCCCAGCTACTCGAGAGGCTGAGGCAGGAGAATTGCTTGAACCCAGGAGGCGGAGATTGCAGTGGGCTGAGATCGCGCCATTGAACTCCAGCCTGGGCAACAAGAGTGAAACTCCATCTCAAAAAAAATAATAATAATAATGACTACTGCAAAAGCAGTCTCATTCATCCTTTTTTCTTAATGCAAAATATTTGGAAGGGATTTGCCTAATAAAATAACAGATAGCACTGCTTTACAGTTTATCTTAGTAAATCCAATATTCTGAAACAAAATTAAGACAATAATCTTAATATCTGATACAAATCTCCCTTTGAGAATACTACCCCATCATATTCCATTTAAATTGACACTGACACCTGACTCATAAGTGGCATGTAATAAATAACTGCTAAATGAAAGTACAGAAAACATCTCATACAGAATCCCTCCACATGTTTTTTTAATTCCTCCCTAGGTTTTTGTCATTTTAGTTGTTTTCCTCCAAACATGATCAACATTCCTAACATCATGCTTCAGTTTGATTAGGTTACACAACTAGAATATTAAAATCAGAGCAGTATGTAGAGGTTAAAAAAAAAAGAAGACACAGAAAATGCACATTATTTAATAAAATTATTTAATGATCACATGACTATAACTAGAATAAGAGTCAGAACAGAAGATAAAACATAACGTGACAAATTGGACTGGACAAAATGCAGCAGTATAAGATTAACACAAGGTAAATGACAATATTGCCAAGCCTTGCTACTGAAATGTTTAATTACATGTATTATTGAGGTCAAATATAGGGCATGGATACTAATAAAGAAAAAAAAATTAAGATAGTAACATGAAACCAGTGCATTCTATCTCCCATTCTCTATAATACTGAAGCAGAGTTTTACTAAAACTTGAATCTTTTTTTTTAAAGATATGTATACAAGGAACCAGGGGCTTATGAAAAAGGAAGTGCTAATGTGGACCAGCAAGGTATGAAATCAAAAAAATGCTTTCATTTTCAACCCCTTAACTCAACCATACCCTGATGGCAAGGTATGGCAAAAACATAAAGCTACTGTTAAATGATTAAAGTGCAAAATAAAACTGAATTATGATGGGCAACAAAGGAAATTTAGAAGATCAACAGCTAAACCCATACTATACAATTATCAGACTTTCCATATTATACCTTTTTATTGCTTGTTCTGAGAATATCCAATTCTTTTAGAAGAAATGCTATTGTCTTCTCTTTATCTGAGTCTGAAGTAACTTGACAAGGAGTCATACATTCATAATGCATATCATTATGTCTATGTTCCATAACGCTGTAATAAAGAAACTGATTAACATTTCAGAGTAAGATAAACTAATTTTTTGACATTTTGTATGCTACTTGAGAACAGTATCAACTTGTAAGCAAACACCATAAAGGAAGGGAAAGGAAAAGAGATGGGCTGTTTTTTTGAAGGCCTTATATTAAATTTGTAAGCACAGGTAAATTTTGGAGTCACTAAGAAGAAATTTAGTGACGGCTGGGACAGTCAGTGCAGCTCTATTTACCACGTACATCTCCTGTTGTAATTATGCTAGATATCTCATAATCTGACTTTAGCCCAATCTCTACTATTTACTTTACCCATGTGGTTATAAAATGTTTATCCCTACTTCATTCTTCTGTGCTTCTACTCCTCAAAAGGGACTCCAACCTACACCTTAGTAAGAATCTGAAAAAGGGATGGGAACATATCAATACATCTATTTCATTATATGTTACTATCTATTAACATATCTACTGAATAATTTGAAAGTAGAATAAAAGTTCCTATGCAAAAATCTGTTAAAAATAGTATGCTGCAAAATATTATTTTGTCTAGACTGAAAATATATTAGTCACTGAAACTTCTTTTTAAATCTAATAATATTTTTCTAGCACATGACTAATTATCAAAGTTCCTTAATCTCATGGGTAGAAGTATCAGGTATCACAAATTCAAATCCTTTCATGAGCTAGGTAGGCAAGGTTACTGGGTAAAAGCTGAGAAAGTAAAATAATGAGGAATGCAAATGGTAGAGAACAAGGCCCTTTTAAAAGCATCAAATTCATTTAAATGAAAAATAGCGCTAACCCAAACCAAAATGCATGTTTGGGCTTACCTTGTCCTGGAGCTGCCAGTTTTTTACTTTCATGAATGATATGTCATGTATATCAATTTAACAGTTATTTCCAAATACATAAAGAAAGGTCACAGAAAATAATATTGAATAAAATAGAATTAAACCTGTCTTTCTTCAGATGCACTTTGTGCTTTTTCACTTAGTTAACTAGACATATTATATCCATACCATGGAAACAGTAGAAAACCCTGGTAGATTCGCCAAGTTCTAATAAGTTTAGAATTAGCCAACACCAAAAAGAAAGAAGGAAAGAGGAAGAAAGGGAAGAAGGGAGGGAGAAAAAGTTCTTCCAATTCTAACTTTCTCTTTTTTTTTTTTTCTTCAGACAATCTTGCTCTGTTGCCTAGGCTGGAGTACAGTGGCACAATCTCAGCTCACTGCAACCTCCGCCTCCCAGGTTCAAGCGATTCTCATGACTCAGCCTCCTGAGTAGCTGGGATTACAGGCATGTGCCACCACACCTGGCTGATTTTTGTATTTTCAGTAGAGACAGGGTTTCACCATGTTGGCCAGGCTGGTCTCGAACTCCTGACCTCAAGTGATCCACCCACCTCGTCCTCCCAAAGTGCTGAGATTACAGGCATGAGCCACCACGCCTGGCCCCAATTCCTTCTAAATCTAAGGCTGTGAGCACTTACTTGTATTTTTCAGTAGTGCAGTAAACAGACTCATCATCTGGATAAGAACTGATGATCTGAAAATTCGTTGATCTCTGCCCTGGCCATTCTGTGTTCTCACATGTTATTTCATTAACTAATTCAGTGGATTTCCGATGCATACTTTTCTCAGAATTCATAGTCAGTTGCTCATCTGGCTGCGTACTTTTATTTATCCCCGTAGTTTCTTGTTCAAGATAACTGTGGGTTATGTCTGTATTTAAACAAACAAATAACACATGATATATTAAACACCATAACTGCATATTAAATCATTCAGTCAAATAAATATTTTTGGAAACACTCTTTAGCTTTAAACATATAGTTTCTAGTCTTACTCCTACTGTAATCAGATAAGCATTGGGATAAGTTGTAGATAATGGTAAATTTGGTCTCAAATAGGCCAAAAAGAGTTGGGACTTAAGAGTCTGAAGCAGTTGTGGGGCTGTCATGGGGACCTGGGGGCTTTTATAGTTGGCAGTGGTCCATGGACCATCCTTTTTCCTTTTGAAGAAATATGGCACTTCATAAACTGAAGAATGTGGGGCCTAAGAGTTTTTTAAAAATATGTCCCTAGGGGCAATGTTTGTTATTTTGATAATGCTTTCAGTAACTATTTCTGATTGCTTTTCATTTGAGTTACTTACAATGTTATGTTAGTGTTAGAAAGCATGGTCTGTTAATGATATAGAGGCTTTCCTTAGTGCCCGTTTATAAACTTTTGTCATTCAGATTTTAAGAGTTTCATTATACTAATGCCAGCCTATTACAGAAAACTAGCATGGTGACCATCTAATGCAAACCAAGTAAGCATTTTGAGCTGTCAAGAATGAACAAGTAATCTTCAGATGTATCTGTTCCTAAAACTGTCAAATGTAAATGGTTGTTTACTAGTTTTATAGTTCTCTTTCTTTGGCTTTAACCTAATGTGAAATTTTGTGATCCCCTGAACTCTTGATAAATTACCACTATTTAACTTGTGACCACACTATCTTCTTCAATCTTAGAGGAGATGCAGAAGCTTCCCAATAAGAGCTTCCTAATAAGAAGACTCTGTGTTGATCCCTCCTGGGTCTTAGTAATTATAACCCCTTGAAGTTTTATTACAATAAATCCATCAATTTCTGACACACTCCAGACTTCCATTCTAAAATTTAATTATAAATGTTTAATATTTTTAAAGAACCCATACTGTGTGACATGGCTCTATTTCTGGATATTTCTCATTTTGTTCAGTAGTAAAAGCTTTCAGATTTCTATTTCAAAAGGCTCATCAGAAATTTGGAGCCTGCTCTGCAAATCAGACTATCCATACTCTTCTACTGAAAATTTATTTAAAAAAAATGTTTTAGGTCAGGATCTTGCAGTGTTGCCCAGGCTGGCCTCAAACTCCTGGGTTTAAGCAATCCTCCCACCTCAGACTCCCAGTCTGAGAATTTAATTTTACTTTAGAATACACATGGCTGACTTATAAAAATTTTCCTGCCTGTCTTGTTTTTTTGACCAACTATTTTGGCAAGTATGATTCCAGCAAATCAATGTTAAATCCTCTGAAGGCTTTCAATGCTCTCCTCTCTGCCATCCTGCGTTACACTATATTAGTATTCAAACATTTGTATAAAAAGTTTGACTCTTCTAATTTATTTATTCATTAATTTACTGATCGTTCATTGAAAACTTACAGTGTGGTATGTCTTGTGGTAGCTACTGGGAAAACAAAGATGAATAAGAAACAAACACTCCACTCAAAGACTCTCTAGTACAGTGAGGATGGCAAACTCATCTAATGATCTGAATACAGTATAATAAGGACTATGCTTGGGCTATGGAGGCCAAATACATACAATATGCTAGACATACTAATGCTCACCTGGAAGACTCTAGGAAGACTTCACAAAGGCATTTGCTCCAAAAAAGGTCAAGTAGGGATATGCGAAGTAGCAAACTGCCAAAGGATAGCCAGAGTTAGATGAAATAAAAAGTTAATAGACTATAAAAATAGGAAGAATAGGAATAGATATAGAGGAGAAGAAATAAATTTAGGAAAAATGAAGAGACATTTCTTGTATTGAAATGACAAGATGTTATAGTCGGAAGAAAATTTCTAAAATCAGTATTAAGGACAAAGTCCAAGGTATGGCTCATCTGGAAATGAGTTGATGAAATAAATTAAAAGTGAACATACTTGGAGTGGAGAAAATCAAAAAGTCAAAGTGCTGAAAGTACCACCTTTGAAGGCATTGAAGTCATCCAGAAAAATGGCAGAAAATGGAGAGAAGAAATGAGAGCCAAACATCAAAGATTTCAATGACTGCAGAAGCAAGCTAAATGAGAAAGCCGACAAAAACTGACATTAGATAATCCTTCATTTGTACCTTTTCATTTTGAAATAATTTGTCTCATAAGAAAGTTGCAAAACAAAGAATTACTGTATGCCCTTTACCTAGACTCCCCAAATATTAACATTTTATCATGCTTGCTTTATTAACCATTCTTTCTATAACTATCTACACAATTTTTTTTTTTGAGAGGGTTTCGCTCCGTCACCCACGTTGGAGTGCAGTAGCACAATCATGGCTCGCTGCAGCCTTGACCTCCCGGGCTTAAGCAATTTTCCCAACTCAGCCCCCCGAATAGTTGAGACTACAGCTGTGTGCTGTGTTGCCATGCCTCACTAATTTTTTTTTTTTCAGAGATGGGGTCTTGCCATGTTGCCCAGGCTGGTCTCAAACTCCTGGGCTCAAGCAATCCTCCTGCCTCTGCCTCCCAAAGTATTGGGATTACAGGCATAAGCCACCATGCCTGACCTTACAATTTTTTTTTTTCTGAAACATTAGTGAGTAAGCAACAGGCATGAAACACTTTGACTTTTCAAGACAAATTTTAAGATACTGCTCTATCATCTTGCATTTTGCCTAATTTTCTTTACCTTATTCATAGCCCAAATTTATTTCTGAATTAGTACCTTTTCTAACCAAGAGAAGATGAAAGCAGTTAGTAACTCTAAGTTCAGACTTCAGTTATTTTCCCTAAACTCTCCAGCCCAGGAGAAGGATCTTTATGAAGCAATAATGAGACGAAGCTACTAAGAGCTTTAGCTGAGCTTATTTGTATTGCCCCATCACTTTAAAAAGAACTGCATACAGAAATATAAACACAAGCCAATAAAATGCCATTAAAGTGAAGCTATTGGTCTGTTTTGCATATTAGTCAATTTAAAAGATAAGACAAATGTTAAACAGAAAGATATTCACTTTCGATTCAAACTCTTATCTCTAGGCAGATGAAAACTTAAACCTAAAACCATCCTGTTGATTCCTCTATCTCTTTCATATGGTTTGAAACGGAAACTCTCTTTAGTAATCCACTTTAGTGTTTAATCAGTGTCATTGTTAACTCTTCTAACATTATGACTAACTGAATTAATACTATTCAACTTCATTTATCCATATGGACTTAAAGAATAAACTGTCAATCTCTTCTTCATCATTCAAAAGTTATGAAGTCTGACTTTCTTTTCTCAGAGTTAAACAACAGGAAAAAATGTATGATTACTATCAATCTCTTCATTTGCTTTTCTGTGGGCACACTGTTTTATTTAGACATAAGAATTCGACCACTTCAAACCAAATATAATTCCCAACTTTTGCATTTACTGTCTCATACCATCACTACCACATAAAGTTATCCTGCTATCAACTGAAAAATGATATTATGGATTACTACTAGGTATTACCCTAAAATGCCACCTACTGCTATTGCTAGACAGTTTATTCATCTAGGCATAGAATCTTAGTACTTAATACATCTGCATAGACCAGCTGCATTGTATGCTTTGAGGATCCTGTATCTCTCTAGTGACTTTCATGCTGTTTCCAATGAACCATTTTCATGATCTAATGAATTATTGCTTGCTTCTGGAGGTGTCAGTATTGTTAACTGTCTCAATGCTAATGCTGTTGTTAAACCCTCAATTCCTTAGTCTGGAAAGTTAACAGTGTTACAATACCATTGCCTATTCTAGGAAAGAAAGCTTTGAGATTCCCTTTGAGTTCAATTCTTCAGATAATTATACATTTTTTAATATATACTATACTCAGATTGATGCTACCCAATAAATCATGACTCATTGCCAAAAGTAACTATTATTTAATGACCACTATACAGAAGTAAGGCAGTGGCTAGAATCAAATAGGGATTCTCAGAGGCTGGGAAATTCTGTTCTGCCTGGCTTTGTAAATAGTTTGTGACAACTGGTATCTGTGTAAACGGATTTGATGGTCCCCTGGGGGGGTCAATACTGTTTACAGAGCTGTTTCTTCAGAGTGGTTGAGCTAGAATTGTCTCTAGGGTTCCCACTGGGGTTACTCAGAATAGCAACATCCCAGCTACCTGGGAGCTCAGAGACAGGAAAGAGAAAGGGTGGATAGAAGTATTAGGGGCAAATACATTCAAATAAATGGATCGCCTGCCTCTTAAGATGAAGGTACTACTTAGTGCATATATATCTAAAATGAACATAGTAAAGGCAGTTTGTTAATGTGCTCCCTGATACTTGATAACATAACTTCACTATTTCTGTAAATTCTGTCTTTTGGGGGGTGAGAAAAGAAGGTTACACCTTAGCATCTGATTTTATAAATATAAAAAGAACCAAATCGCATGCTTTAATGCTTCTTTCCTTCCTATATGGTCCATCACCATATTATATAAAAACATCAAAATATAAGACTTCCTTTTCCTATTGGAGTGCAAATTTGATGTGATGATGGAATTTCTACAGTAGTTCCACATTTTAAACAAAAGATGTCTTTTTTCAATGGGCAAAAACTTTTTTTTTAATGAATATTAGTTTTGAAATAATCAGAACAATGCCGACTAGTGATTGCTCCCAATGACTTCTACAAATTCCTTAAGTAATTTAAATATAGTATATACTTTCTTTGTCTCCGTGTGCACAAATAATATTTATTTCCATTACTAAATATGTCCAACTATGCTTCCCTTTTCTGTGGAATAGAGGGTTAGCTTTCCACAGAGATGCATATTATATGTGCTCCCCTACAACATCTAGGCAATACAGATGTATATTATATGTGTTTTTCCCCCCACATAACATTATCAGGAACTTCTATAACATTATAGTAGATCTGCCTAATATGTGTGTACAAGATAAAAGTTTAGACCATCCAAGTGTTCTAACCACTACACCACTGATATATTTAGACCTTCCAAGCAGAACCACAGTCAGTGCATGGATTCTGAAGACAGACTACAAGGTTTGAATTCTGGCTCCACAATATAGCTGTACAACCTTTAGCAAAATATTTAACCTTTCATCAATTTTCCTAGCAGTAAAGAGTACAAAATGATAGCATCTACCTCAAAAAAATGTTGAGAATTAAACTAAGTTACATAAATCTTTTAGAAAAGTGTTAGCACAAAATATACAATAAATATTAGCTACTATTATCTTTAGAATCTGCTTTGCTAAAAGCTAGTTTCTCTATTTTGATTTCTCTCACCTTTCTGTGAGATAACATCACCATCTTGGGACCATATTCAAACTTACAATTCAAATTTATATCTTTAATTTCTCTCAAATATTAAGAAAAGCAAGAAAAGTATCTATTTTCCTAGTTATTATTCTAGTTTTCATATTTTAAATTTTCTCAATTTCCTGAACAAATTTATTTGATGATCAATAGTCAGCATATAGTTGCACAGCTAAAATCAGTACAGCTGACCTAATCAACCAAGTTGTTATCTAAACATTTACTTTTTCTTCCAGGAAATGTTAGCAACTATGGGGAAAAAATCTCTCAGAAATACTAATGTATCTAATACTTTCTCTTTTTTTTTTCTTTTTCTCTTTTCTTTTGGCCCAAATAATCTTATTCTGTTAACAATTGTATGTAATTCTTCTAAAATATCAGAAGACATGGAAATGAAAAATAAATAGAATGCCACCTAATTCAATGAGAAACATAAACACAAAGAGAAAATACTTAAGATGGTTAAAACTTGTAATTAATACATAATGGTTTAATAAAGTTTGTATCAGATTATAAAACTAATACATTACAGAAATAATACAACTTTGAAATTTAGAAATCTTGACATTCAGGAAAGATTCTGAGAAAATTCACCGTCAAAGAAAGAAAATTAACAGTAAATTCAATCCCATGGCAGGAAAACAAGAAATTTAAATAACATACTTCTATGTTATTAATTACAATCTGTTATTAATTACATATTCTATGATATTAATTACAATCAGGATCACAGCTGGTAGACCACAGGCTCCTATCTTCCTGAGAATCTAATTTAGGAGTCACAGGAAATTAGGTAACTTAGCTTAAAAAATGGAAACTTTTTACATGAATACCGTATACTAGCTCTCTCAGGGCTTTTTAAATTTGTATTTTGGCTTCAACAGTCATAAAATAAAGTCATAATTTTACTTTCATTGGTCTACATAATTAATAACCTCTATCTGTGCTTTAAACAAACTTGCCAACATACTTTTAGATTGTTTCTACAAACAGCATAAATGAAATTATAAGATAATCTTTCTGTTTCATGTGTTTTTCAATATCACCACCAAGTTAATTACCAACCACAACTATGTAATTATTCTTCTATAATGTGTTCAACAACATTACATTAGCAACTATGTCCAACCACATTATAGAAGAATAGAGAATAGTTACACAGATGTGGTTTCTACAGTTCACAGCCTTCTCATCTATGTGTGTCTCCCTTTCTAGACTGTAAGCTCCCTAATATACTCATCTTCCTAAAATATACTGGAACAAAACAGTGGATATATTAGGTCTTTCATTCAATGAAATGAAATGAATCAATGAAAGGAGATACTAAATTAGGTTTCCTTTTTTTTTTTTTTTTTTAGATGAGATCTCACTATGTTGCCCAGACTGGTCTCTCAAACTCCTGAGCTCAAGCAATCCTCCCACCTTGGCCTTCCAAAGTGCTGGGGTTACAGGTGTAAGCTAACGCATCTGGCCAGAAATACTGAATTAGAAAATCAGCTAAAGAATATATGGAGAGCAAACAAGTATTGAAAATGAGTACTTTATTCAACACTTATTAAGTACCAACACAGTGCCAGGTGCTGTGTAGGATGTAAAGGTAAATTAAAAACTCTATCTGCTCTCAGGGGAAATGACAAAGAATGAGGGAGGCAGACAATATGAATAACCTTTGCAAACAAGTAAAGAAAAGGTTGGTGGCAGAATGAGGTAGTCCCGGTGATATGTTTAATCATATAGATCAGCACTATCCAAAAGATACATTGCTCAAATTGCTTATACAATTTTTAATTTTCTCATAAGCTCATCAAACAAGAAATAATGAGTAATATTATATTTCTCAAATATGACCATTTCAACATGTAGTATTAAAAAATTGCTTTGAGAAATTTACATTCTTTTTTGTACTATAATTACAGCAAATCTCAGTTTGGACTACCCAGATTTTAAGTGCTCAGTAGCCACATGGTGCCCATAGCTACCACATTGGAAAGCACAGACAGTGATTTCTTATGTTTTTTTTGTTTTTTTTTAAGACAGGGTCTCACTCTGTCACTCAGACTAGAGTGAGGTGGCACCATCATGGCTCACTACAGCCTCAACCTTCTAGGCTCTGGCGATCCTCTAGCTTCAGCTTCCAGAGTAGCTAACACCACAGGCATGTACCACCACACCTGGCTAATTTGTTTTTATTATTTGTAGAGACAAGGTCTCCCCTATGTTGCCCAGGCTGGTCTCGAACTCCTGGGCTCAAGTGATCTCAGGTCGATCCCATCTCAGCCTCCCAAAGTGCTGGGATTATAGGTGTGAGCCACTGTCCCCAGTGCATATGTAATTCTTAATAAGGTATATTGTACACATATTGAAGAGAAGTCAAAAACATATTGAATGGTAAAGGCTACGTGTAGCTATAAGATACTGAAATAAGCTTTTATTAAGGTTGAAAAACCAGATAATCACTAAATCTGTCAATATCACATAACTCATTCATTTGGACATTAGAGTTGGAGATACAAAATAAACTGCATCCTTTATACTCCTACACATGGTTATATTTAGATAAACACACATGCCAAAAAGAAGTGGTGAGATTATTTTACCTTAGATACAACAATTCAATGACTTGATGTACCATGTTTCAAACTATCTATTGGCTATTCATGAAAATTCTTTTACTGAAATTTTATTCTTTTTTTTTTCAGATAAAACAGCTATTTAAAGTGGTGATGCCACAAATTTTTTTTAAGTTTTTGTTTGTTTCACCAAGTCTGAAGTAGTCACGAATGAATCAATATTCATCCTATTGAGGAAAAGTTCCGATTTCTTTGTATGAACTATTTAAAGTACGTAAGTATTTTGTGAAATTCTATCATATGTTTAAGCTTTTAAATTTCAACATCCTTCACCATATGAAGGCAATGAGCACAATATAATAGCGTAATATCCTACAGCTTAGGCTATATAATTAACTTATAAATCACAAATTTAGGGTTTGTACAACTTCTATTACAAATGTTAAAAACACTACAAATATTATTTAGGCTGAAATGATTGTGAAAACTATCCTAAAATTTGATTAACATAACTCTTTTTGTTGTTCCCCAGTGATATGAGCTATTTGGCTATTTGTAATATATTTGTAACCTTTTCAGCCTTTCTCAAAATTTCTTATTATTAGAATAATTTGTATAAGTTAATTAAAAACACGAGTGAACTGGAAAAGTCCTGGAAATTTCTACAACTGCAATAAAATAGGTTTAATAATTATGTATTTTTTGTTTGTTAAGAATGAAGACATACCAATTGTGAATTCAACAATTTCATAAATAATCTATAAAAGATAAATTTTCCAATAATAAAGAGGAAAAAACAAACTTTCTTTATATGTGCCACTCATTTTGTTTAAGAATATATTTAGATTTGGAAAACAAAATAGAAGAATCACCAGTCAGATACTAAGCGGGAATCACTGAAACACAATGTTAGTTCTAATGGATGGATGATTGTGTTTGGTCTTTTGAAACTTTGAAGTATAGGTAAGTCTTGATCACACAAATTAATAAATCCTAAAGCTGGAGTTAACAATAACCATTACACCCAAATTCTGCAGCTTAGCCAAGCCAATTTTTCAAAAGGTCAGGTTGTGAACTGGAGAAGATCAGGGAGGTCCACCGCATAGCTTTGTTGCCAGGCATCTCTCGTCTGGATTGTTGCAGGCATTTATTAGTATTCGTCAGCAGACTCAACAAAGCAAACAAGAAATTCAAGCACGAATAATAAAATGAAATGCTGCTATATAACCCTTTGTCATTCAGCAAATATGGGACTTTTTAGCTACATTGTTCCTAAACCTGGGTTACTACTTTAATTTTTCTCCACAGCGCTGACTGAATGAGTATGCATGTGTGTTAAATGCAGAGCTCCCCTAACAACTGCAGGACTGCCATTTAATCTGTTGGTAGATGGACCATTTCCTGTGGGAACCCTAGCTATGATTTCCAGATCCACCAAATAAATCTCAGATTAAGATTCCAAATGAAACCTGCCTTTGGCAGATAAAAAATGTCAAGATGGATATAAACAGTAAAATTATAAATTATCTAGGTGTTGCATAACAAACCAATGCTCAATTTTTTTTGTTGACATGTGCCCAGATATCAAAACTATATGAGACATTCATCAAATGTCACACTTTCATAATATTGGAGGCATCATTAAAACTGTTTGACTAAGGACCTCAAAGTGTTTAAGCAGTAGCTCAAAAGTATATTTGTGCAAAGTAGAAGAATAAATTTACATATCAGCAGCACCTCATAAGGGATGGGTAAATATTCTGTTTATCTCTCATTGTAATTCAGGTTACTTTAAATACAAGGTTTTAGGAAATCATTATACTCTATATGGCATCATTACATAACTTTCTATGTAAATGATATATTTTATTCAAATTCCCCATTTGTTTCTCAAACACACACACACACACACACACACACACACACACACAAAACAAAACCAAAAAACCCAAAAAACAAAAAGAAAAACATGAAAGGAAAAGGTAAGACTGCTATTTCATTAATCAACTGTAACTGCTAAACTAGTCCCTTGTTAGTTACACTACAGCATCATCAGCCCCTTGTTAGAGTTAGCATTTTAAACTTTTCAAAAAAGCATTAAGTACTTGAAACAAAAAAATAAAGCCTCAGAAAAGTAAATTTGTTTTTTGGTAATGTGTTCATTTCAAATGACTTGGGGGAGGGGCAGAGACTTTTTAAAAAAATAATAAAGGGTCAATATAGAACATCATGGAAAGCAAAAGTCCTATTAAAAATGCAGAGGAAGTCTCTGATGCTGGTTTCTACTGCATTCTCAAGAGATCAAAGACTGCTTTTTTAACGAAAAAAATTTTTTGTCATCTTCTTACCTGGGCTAGTGCAGCCTTGTCCTAATCTTTAACTCTATACTGGTTGATTATAAAATATAAGCAATGAAGTTTTCCAAAAGGAAACAGATTTGCTGAACTGTAATCATTACTTTTTTTAACTTTAAACTCTTAAAAGCAATTGAGTAAAATAGCTTCAGTGACTCCAAATTTGCAACATTTGGTTTTTTGATAAACATTTAAAAATCATCTGATCTACTTAAAATAGAAATTCTTTCAAATTATAACTTCTTTCCACTTTTATAATAATTCATGGAAAGGACACAGAATATCCATACTCCATATTCCAAATCTTAGGATTTGTACACAGGCCTGAAACCTTAAGGACTACATATTTGTTCTGTCTTCCCTTATCATATTTCTTTCTTCCAAAACTTGTTGTTGGTTCAAGGAAACTAATGCTAAATGAACCATACCTACCCTAATCTGCTAGGGATTAATATTAATCTGAAAATTTTGAATTTTCTGGAGTGGGGAGAACATTAATTAAAGAAAGAAATAATGGTATCTTGTGCTTGAATGTGATTATATTTCTATACTAAAACTGTTCACATCAATGAACATTGTTTGTTAACTGTGTTAATTTTACAGTGTATCAAATTATCTTGGTACAGACAGCAAAACTGTATTTAAAAGGAGCATTTAATTGTTAATTTTTAAAATATTGAGTAGCAAAAACATTGTTTCTACACAAGTATAATTTTATCAATACAAATCCATCAGTTTGTATTGTTCACCCATCAGCATCCTAATATTATAGTACTAAATGGTTATATGTAAAAACTAGAATCTGTCAAAAGATAAATATAAAAGTTTAAATACAATTTTTGAAAATAATCACTTTTTAGTTTGCATCTTTTCAACACAATTTTACCATATGGCAAAGTATTATCAATTTCATCCAAAAGCTACAGATAAGAATATTTTTAATTCAATCATTTACACTATAGTCTACTTAATTTCAAAATTTTGAAGCCTGACTTGCTCTAAATTTGTTTTTTCATATTCCCTAAAATAAGCAGAACACAAAGAAAAACTGTATCTGAAATTATCCCAAAAAGATAATAACGTCCTACATGACAGGTTGTTTTGATTCGAATAAAACCAAAACACTAAAAGTTGAAGTATTTGGTGAACTCCTCCAAAAGATTTTTATTCTACTACTACAAATTTATTTACATCCAAAGAGTACTAAGTAAATGTACATAAAATATATAATTTTATCATTTAAGAAACTTTTTAAAAATGTATTTAAAATACCTTTAAGTCCAGGAAGTCACATTAGTCCTACCCTATAGTCAACCTGGACCAACCTTCTAAAGGGCCTTCAATTCAGTCTACATACCAATGTATATTGATCCAGGTCTCCTAAATCAACAAAATGCCAATGCACACTCAGACCTTTATATTAATCATACTACGGAGGCCACACAGTCATCTGAAATATGACAAGCTGAAATTCTCATGTGTAGAAAATTAAAGATTCAGTAATATTACGTTAAGCTGCATGTTGTAAATATGTGTTACAAGAGGTGTTCTGGCATGAAAGGCCATAACCAGAAATAAATGAGGATTTTTAGCAAAGATTTGTTCAGAACCTTAAGCATGGAGAATTTAAAACAAAGCAAAAATCTTTTGACAAAATCAAGTCATTGTTTTCTATTTCAAAGAAAAAAATCTTGTTTTCATGACCACAAATAAATTTGAAAGAATTTGCATATTTAAAGTAGAGTTTGTATTTCCTTAACCTAAAGAAACAGACTCACAAGTTCTACAAAGAGGATCATACCAACAGAATAGAAACGGGGGAGAAAAGGTCCTATTAAAAGGGAAATTTACCATTTTTCATGCTCATTCTTCCTAGAAACGATCATTTGTATAAAATGCAGGAACCAAAGATGTAAGAATTCTGCATGAAGAGTACAGTGTGAACTGATTTAAAACATTATAAATTAGTAAAAACAGAAAAAAGAGAAAGAAATAAAGAGAAAGAAGAAATCCTATTAGCTCACGAATTTTCCCCCTACTAAGAATTTATGGATTAGTTCACTGGTTGTAACAAATGTACAACTGTGGTAGAGAATAGGCAGAGACAGAGGTTGGGTGTTTGTGGGGGTAGGGATGTATGGGAACACTCTGTACTTTCAACTCAATTTTACTGTAAATCTAAAACTGTTCTGAAAGATAAACTCTATTTTTTAAACTGCCAAAACATAATTTAAAAAATAATTTGTGGCATAAACTCACCAACATGAACTATTCATATTAGAAATTATGAATCTTAAAAGGGTTCACAACAAATGTCATAACCAGTTAGAAAACTAAGTTGCCCTTGTAAACATTTTTTGTTTTTTCATTCCATTTTTCTACTCAGTCCAAGAGTATTAACAGAATCATTCACATCAAGCTTAAAAAATAAAGAATTCCAGAATCGTATTTAATAAACTTATTTATATTAAAGGAAATTTTTTAAAATAAAAGACTATAACCTCAATCATTCTTCTAAGAGTAGCCTCAGCATCTCCTCAGGAAATGAATCAATCCTTGCTGGCCAGCTGCCAGTATTCCTAAAACCACTCTCTCAAATATTCTAGATGGTCATGTGTGAGAAGCTACTAGCACTCTATTAAGCTAGGTCCTATGGAGATAAGTAGTAAATTTAATCAGATCTCAGACATGTTCTTCTTTTAACCCCCAATGGCACATGGAAAATTTTTTAAATGCAATCTTAAATCCATACTTGCCAAAAGGAAAAGACACATAAAAATACTCTGTGATGCCACTAATCTGGAGATTTTTATTGCAACTGGAATTTCAATACAGACGAAAATAGATTTTATCCTAAATTAATATTATTAATTATATACTATAGTCTATCAAATATACTAACTATAAGCATACCATTTTGAAAATTAAAGTTCCAGTGATATTCTGAACATTGTATTGGAAGAAAATAGACTTCCTAAAATACTATTACAATCATTTCAAATACTGTTATTAAGGATTCATAATACTTTTGAAACTCAGTAGAATGTACCTTCCATAGCTAGAAGGAATAAGAAAGACAATCACCACGATTTACTTAAAAGTCCTCTAAATTTGTCAACCACCTTTGTTTTAATTTTTTTTATTTTATGTATTTATTTATTTATTTTAGCATCTGTAACCTACCACCATCACACTGGTGGAAAGAATTACTCTGGTATGTGAAATACAGATTAAATAAATTCATTTCCTGTTTCAGACATTGTAGTAGGGACTTTACATATAGCATTCCTCATCTTCGCAATGGTCCTAAATAGATTATCTCTCTATTTCATATAAAAGAAAACTCAAGCTTACAAAGATTTATGAAACTTGTACCCAAATCCAAGTAGGTAGTAAGTGAAAGATTTAAAAATTAAAACTTATGTTTAGCTCCAAACCTGTGTTCTTTCCACCATAACATTTTACTGACATTATTAAAAGTATTGGTTTTCCAACACAGTCTTCTTTCTACTTTAAAATATAGGCAATAAGCTAAAACCACTAACTATATTTCTTCTTCATGAAAAATATACCATTACTTACTAGAAAGCCAATTATTAAAATTTAAGTCCTGTAATTTAATACAGAATGATTAGTTATCTAGACATTTTCAAAACCTTTAATTTCAAGGAGTATATAATCATAATGTCTAGGAAATAGCTTTTTTTCTACCAGCTTATCTTGCTGGTAGCAATGAATGTCCATTCTAAGCAATTTGTCATTTCCTTCTTCTCCGCCTTAAACATAAAATAGTTTATAAAAGTGATATGAGATTCTACAATCATATTTTAGTCATAATGATCAACAACATTTAAAAGCATCAATTATGTTTTCCTACAGTGGTTCTTCAGTGTCTACACTTACAAATTGTCTGCAAATCATGGAATAGTTTTAGTTATAATTCAATTACAGAATTGCAGACAGACAAAAGGTAAAACAGAATATGTACTTTGTGAACAGAGAGAAAGATAAATGAATCAATAATACAAGAGGTTGATGGTGGCACACAGGTTCAAAATGCCAAGGACAAATAAACATTATTCTGACTCAACAAGAAACTACCAAACCACTTGCAAGTTACCTTTCATTAAGTTTCATTTATTTAAAAAAAATTTGTGTTACTGTGTTTTATAGAAAAACCGTAAGAATCATGGATACAAATGATACTTGCCAGTCCAATTCTAAAATAAGGAAGAAGACAACTGTTTTTTACTTAAATTCAGTAGGATAAAAAATTGTTAAATATTTACTAGCCTCCAATAAACTGAAAAATGTAAGAATTCTATTTACACAGCCATTCTATAAGTGCTTTTTCACCTTATTTCAAATAAGTACAATGATTCCTGATTTAGAATCATGATCATGTTTTAAGCTTAAAGATAAATTAAAAATATGTAATCTATATCTAAATTTAGATAATACATAAATAAAAATAACTACTTGTGTGTAAAATATATATTACATATGATGATCCCCCCAAATAATAAACCTAAAAACAATATTGAACAAACTCATTAAATTGAAAGGTTTTGGTCAAAAGCTTCTTCAAGGTATAATTCTCATCATTTCTTACCTTAAATTGGTAAAAAATATATATATATTTACAATATAGCAGATTTAATATTTAATTTTGGTAGGCACAGTAACCTTTTGTAACCTTTCTTAGGGAACACTGACCCCTAAAGGTTCTAAATTTAAATAAGTTTCACAATTTTCTAAATTTAACTGGTATCCAGATCTCATTTTTACCTACAAAATTGCAAGTATGTATACTTAGGGCAGACATATTTACCTGTAAATATGTAAACTATTTGCAAAGAATTGTTGTATGCTATAAAACTACTTAACCATGTATCTGCTAATAAAAATAAACATTAATTTAAGAAATGATCAGGAATTTATAACAGTATTCCAAATAATTATTCATATAAGATTTACGATCTCTATGTCTTTTTTCTTACATAGTTATGTATATAAGTAAGTACAAAAAAGGGCTAAACAACAATAATTTAACAACTCATTATTTCAGAGGGTATAAACTCCTTTGATTATGACATTTCATTTTTTCCTTTTTTTTTTTCAAAAGAGAACCCTTAAATAGAAGTTTTCACAAAAACGCAAAACATCACTTACCCCTTAAAAGGCCTGAAGATGGTAACACATTTTTTGCTGGCAATATATGTTTATTCACACACACATTGTTTTTATCAACTTACAAACTACATTCATTCAGGACTGTTTTTTTAACTCCTTAAAGAAACTTGGGGGCTAGATACAGTTGTTTTCGCCTGTCATCCCAGGGCTTTGGGAGTCTGAGGCAGGAGAATTGCTCGAGGCTAGGAGTTTGGGAACAGCCTGGACAACATAGTGAGACCCCCCAACCCCTACAAACCATTTTTAAAAAAATTAGCCAGATACAGTGACTCATGCCTGTAGTCCAAGCTACTCAGGAGGCTGAGGAAGGAGGACTGCTTGAGCCCAGTAATTCATGGTTACAGTGGGCCATGATCATACCACTGCACTCCAGCAAGGATGACAGAGTGAGACTCTGTCTTTAAAAAATATACATATAAAAAAAAACTTGGGTTTATTTTGTAGATGTCATCACCCAGCCCATCTACCAACCTCAGCTTTCCATTTTCCAAAATGTCTACAATGACAAAAACAAAGAAAAACATAAATGGTTCTATATGTTACATTATCAATCTTATCAACTCTTTGACTTAAAATATTTCAGAAGCGTTTCTACAGTAAAGCTAGGAAAAAAATGGTCACTTCAGCACTCTTTAAAATGAAATTTGTAAGATGAAATAAAGGCATATCTGTGTAATACAAGTTTTAATTAACTTAATTTCTTTTAAAATTAGTAAAATTATACTAAATAAAATAACTATTCAAAGGAACCGACTAGGAACATTTATGTAAGATAGCGCTTTGAAGCAATTTGTGATTTAAGATAAATCCCATGAACCCTGCCATCAGGGAGATGACGATGTGAGATTTTACTGTTTAAACATATCTGTTATCCCAAGACTTGAAAGTTAAAATATTTATGTTTAATTTTATTTCCTAATATTATTTAATTTATTGAGACAGTCTCCCTCTGTTGCCCAGACTGGAGTGTGATGGCATGATCTCTGCTCACTACAACCTCCGCCACTGGAGTTCAAGTGATTCTCCTGCCTCAGACTACCGAGTAGCTGGGATTACAGGTGTGCCCAAAACACCCAGCTAATTTGTGTATTTTTAGTAGAGACAGGATTTCACCATGTTGGTCAGGCTGGCCTCGAACTCCTGACCTCAAGTGACCCACCTGCCTTCGCCTCTCAAAGTGCTGGGATTACAGGCATAAGCCACCGCATCTGACCTTTTTCCTAATAATGTTTAATAATGGATCCTTATAAAAGGGAATGTCTTATTCCTCTTTCCAATGTCAAAAAGATGCCTGTAAAAATGTAGATTTTCCTAATGCTGTATCAGTCATGTCTGCTGTAAACTGTCTATGCATCTATATAGTTTACTGTGCCTACTGTAAACTGTCTATGCATCTGTATCTTCAACCATAAAACTTTCCTTTTCATAAGTATCCCAGAGCTTCATCAGCTCCTTCCTTGACATCCTTCCTGATTACTGGACATTTATCAGTAGTACTTCCTCTACAGTCTCTATCTCTTTAGATATATTAAAAATAACTCCTTTGACTCCTTAAAGATCGTTTGGTCTCTAATTTTAATATAACTCTTACAGCAATATGATGTGTGAATGAGAAACACAACAGATGCATCATTATTTGCTTCCTTTTTGTTTTTTTTTAACATCAATTGAGTAAAATGCTTTTGAGCTCTTTAAAAGAAGAGTATCTGCTTACTTACTTGAATAAATGAATAAACACAGCTATAACAAATTAGTTCCTAACTTCATACCAATACATTCTTATCCACAACTTGAATATATAGAGCACACCAAAATTAAGTGTCACATAATATACGCACTATTAACTTTGCACAAAAAACCTTGAACTATCTTACCCAGATATTATATATGATTGTTTTATATAGAATTACATCAGCTATCTGGATTCTAAACTCATAATAAGCAGCCCAGAGTGACAAATAAAAAGAGAAATTACTAATGGTGGGTGCAAAAACAGCAAGAAAATTTGTTAACAGTATAAAAATCAAAAACAAAATCCAGAAATCAGAAAAAGGCACTCAGATCTTTCTATAACTCAAAAGAATGTATAATTGTTAACTTATTCAGTACAATGATTATAGAACGGTCCTCAAAAATGGACTTTAACCTTCAAAAAAGGATAAAAATGTGGCAGGACTATGCTGAACAGGAGCCCTGTTGGGGGAAGGGGAACCAAAAAAGGAAGAGATGCACACAGTGTTTTAATAAGAATCCTATTTTTTAAATTATAATACAAGAGGAAATTTTAAAAGATGTACATAAAGGTTTAAGTTTTCAAATATATGTAATATCACATTCAGAAAGAATCATTTCCCAAGGATTCCAAATTTTCAACATTTTACTGTAATAGATCTTAAATATCTCTTGCCCCCTCCCTTATGTCTGCTGCTCTTATCTATCTGACTGTCCGTCCATCCATCTACCCATCCATCCATCCATCCATCCATCCATCCATCCATCCATCCTTCCATTTGTTTTTCAGGCCATATCTCAGTCTGTCTCTGTCTTCAGACAGTCTTTCCAATTCTATCTGTCTCTGACTGTTCTCTGCCTCTCAGGCTGTGTTCCTCCACACGTGCATACCTGTGAGTCTCTTCTTCTCTGTCTCATATATGTGTCTTAATTTATTTTTCAATGTATGTATCTTCTGATCTATGTCTTTCTCCTCTGTCTGCATATATACATGTCTGTCTCTCATTCTCTCTACTCTCTCTCCTTACTTTAGGTGTGTCTGTTTCTCTGGTGGATTTTTCTTTTTCACTCTGGCATTTCTCTCTCTGTGTGAGGAGAGAGAGAGATATATATATAGATATAGATATAGATATCTGTATCTTGTCTCTTTCGCTATATGTCTGAAAGAGCCATATCTTGTCTCTTTCACTATATGTGTCTCTTGTCTGTATGTACATCTCTTTCTCTGTATCTGTCCGCATGCCTGTGTCTCTATCACTCTCAATGTGTCTCTTTTTTTTCTCTGTCCCTCACTATACATCTGTCTCTTTCTTACCAAGTCTCTTACTGCGGTATCTCTCTTTCTCTATGAGTCTCTGTGTATGCTTCTCTTTCTGTGTGCCTCCAGGTGTGTGTCAGTGCCTCTATGTGTTTCCCTCTTCAAGTATCTTCCTTCCTGTGTCTCTTTCTCTGAGGATCTCCTTCTCTATGTGTTTTCTTTCTCTGAATGTGGCTCTGTACATCTCTGTCACAGTCATTCTGTCTCCTCTGTCTCTTTGTATGTAGGCGTGTTTCTATTTCCTGGTGTGTCTTTTTTTTTCTCCCTCTCTCAATGTCTTTTCTGTGTCTCCTCTGTGTGCATGTGTGTGTCCCTTTCTCTCTGTGTGTATGTCTCTTTTCTCTGTGTGTCTTTCTTTGTATCTCTTTCATAATCCCTGGGTCTCTGTGTGCATGTTTTGTGTGTGTGTGTGCGCACTTGTCTACCTCTGTCTAATATATTGGTTAGAACAAACACACTTCACTCAGTGCCTTGAACTAGAACAACACCTGGGGCTTGGTATTAATACCTTAAAAGTCCTTACCTTTTGACCAGTTCTCCATTTGTATTTCTGTTCTTGTTTGCTCTGGCAATGTCTCTGGTTTTTGCTCCAAGATTTGCAGCTAAAATAAAGCCAACTCTAGATAAATAAACTGAAAACAATATATCAGAACACACCTAAATCTTACCTTTGTTTAACAGAGAATTTACAGGATAAATGGTTTTCTAAAACATTTACAATGGGACAATTAACTGAGAATTTCAACAGGAGAAATTAAATCTTTTTCTCAGAAAAAGGTTCTTTTCTTCACACTTGTATTTTAGTATATACAGTTCAGGTTAAGTTTTTTAGACATTCATGCTGATTTGGGTAGAGAACCATTTAATTTATTTAACTGAAATCTTCTTCAACTACAATTTTAAGCATTTAAGAAAAATACATTTTTACTTTATTTGTCATAAATTTTATACCAAAAATTTCAAATTTACTGATTTGAATTTACTGTGTATATATTCATATAGATTACTTTAATAAATTTTACTTATAAAAGTAATTTAAGAATATTACTCTAATTTTAAAAAACATAAAGACCACCACTAACTTGTGGAATTAATGATACTCCTCTCTCTTATTTGTTTTTGTAGTAAACATGATAAAACACTATGCAAGTTTTTTTTTATGCTTTTAAGGAGAATAAAATTAGATTTACCTCACAGATAGAACCCAGCGTTCTTTAAAAAGTCCTCAAATAAAGCTGTAGTAAGCTTCTCCTTTTCCAATTTTCTCTAAATATGTTGATTTGGAATTGGCAATCTTTTTCTAAGTTTCTCATTTACTTTTGGATTAGCTGAAAATATAGGAAGTTATTAATATCAAAGAAATATGTTCCAGTCAATGAAGCCATTTCCCTACATATTGCCCAAAAAGGTTAATAATAATTGCAGTATTTTAATAAGAGATTCATATACCAAGACATGTAGAAAATACAGTCTTTAATAACCTCTGGAGTATTTTAAAACATGTCTTACAGGCCTTAATGTGCTTAGTAATATACTATTTAAAACCATAATTTTATCCCTCTGCAATATACAGTCACTCTTCCTCATCATTTACCCAGCTAATGAATGCCAGCAATTAGTAAAATGTAATCCCATTGCACAATCATTTTAATGCTTTTAGCACTCAGAAAAGTAAACACCAAATTAATACTGCTCAAGCCATATCAGATCCTAGTTGGAAGCAAGCAATTATAGTTCAGCTCCTCAGGTGTAATTAAATGATTGGAATGATTTAGTTCCATAAATGCAAGTTAATTCATAAGCAAGCAACAAATATACTGGGAGTAATTACAAGAAACATTGACAGTCTAAGCAGGGCAAATTCTTTTGTAAGACTGATGTAGTAAAATGCTGCCCTCTCCTGGGCATTTAAGGGAATAACTCAGAGCCAAACAAAAAAATTCCACAAAACCCAAGTTTTAGAAAGCCTCTAGACAAAATAACCAATATACCAATTTGATTCCATGACTTATAACAAAAATCTAAATTAATACCTATATTATGATAATTTATGGACACTGAGATAATTAATGATTTGTCCAATAAAGCTCTGAGTCCCAAACTACATCTATTTCATATAGGTGATTTCTACACTTTTAATGAAATAAAATAATGCTTATGGCAGACTGCAAGTGAAACTTCTAGTACCCAACGAGACTGCCAGTCAACACCTCTGTTCTCTTAATGGCAAAGCGTAACTTGGCTGTTATGGATAATAACTAAACTATGCTTTTATATGTAGTAAAATATGCATGGAAAATGTAAAACAAAATATTCAATACTGTTATGACTTTAAATAATGATCTAAAATTAATTTTTTAATAAACTTCAATAACCAAAACAAAAACCTGAGTACTATCATAACTGTCATTATAGGCATATTTCAAAATGTAAAGACTAACAAGTACTACACAAAAATGCATCCTGTTTTAGGTCATTCCCAACATTTTACCTTCTTAGGCTAAAATTCAGGACAAATGTACTTATATACTAACTACTCAAGTGGTCCTTAACTTTTCACAACTAACTTTCAGAAGCTTATTTATTATACTCTTAAGTTATGCTATAACCAAAAAGCCTGTGTTAAAAATATGTATTAGTAGCCTTAAACCCAAACAGTATCATCCCATTGCCTTTCTGTAATTTGAACATCTTCTCTGATAAAATATTGCAATTAGCACAATAAATGTTTACTTCTTCAAAAAATGCAAATGGTCCTTGGCAGAAGATAATGCTTAACACTACACCAATATTTTTGGAGACGAAGAGAGTAATAAATTAATGTCCTTTAAATTTGCTTTTAAATGCATTAAAATAACCACATTCTAAGTCATAACCAGCACAAACCATAAAAATAAAATAAATCAAAATATTAAAAAGTCCTGTCACTAAGTTTAAAATGTACAGCACATTTGCTTTGCCCTTGATGTCACAGTCTTATTTTTCAATTCATATCTTGTACACTGTAAGTTAATTGCTTTTGGAAAGTACTTATTATTCATGTAAAAATTAATGTGCCAATGTGTTTAAATCCTCTTAAATGACCATTCATGCATCTTTCTTCTTTAAGTACCAATGAAATCTGTCAAAAGACATCAATGCAAAATGGTCTTAAAGGAAAGTTCTAATAGAGAATTTTTTTTCTGCTAACACAAGATTTTCATATTCACCAACTTTACTTAAATTCCATTAATTTTTTAAGCTACTTTTAATAAATTCACCAAGTAAAATTTTTAGGCCCCATAGTCTGTCATTTGTGTTCCAGCTGACATTATGAATATTAATAACAGTGTTATCCTGATTAAATAGGCTTCATATGAAATCCCTGTGAATCCTATAGCTCAGACATCTCATTTTTCCAACTCTTTATGAATTTGGATTCAGACATTAAACTGGAAAAATCTTAAAAAACAGATTTAGTGGCACATTTGCATATTCTTCAGCAAAAATTAGATGTTTTAATGTTTCAAACAATTAAAACATATCTACATATAATAGGAGAAGATTTCTGTAAAGATGCAACATATTTATACTTCTTTTTTAGGACAAAGGATTAAGACTAATAAAATACTAATTTCTGTCCTTACCTTAAAGATTTGATATCAAGAATTTGTTTTCAGTCAAAAATTATATATTCACATTAAAACTAGTGGGATGATTTTACAGTAGACAATCAGATAAATTGGGTTTCTTAATCCAAATGCTAACATTACATTAAAGACAAAACATATAAAGATTACGTTATTACTAATCTACACCAGGTTCAAGAAGCAAAGTAAAATCAATTTGCAACTAAAGTTTGTTTATAAGTTGTGATGGAAAAAATCACCTATTTAAAAAAAAAAAACTCTACTATAACCAACAGAGGATATATGAGCAGCTGTTAAAATATTCTCCATAATAAATTCCTAGCCTCATTCCTCCAAGCTATTTTTAATTCTGAAAAATTTTCAGTATATAAAAAAGGAAGTGGCGGGGCATGGTGGCTCACGCCTGTAATCCCAGCACTTTGGGAGGCCAAGGCTGGCGGATCACAAGGTCAGGCGATCAAGACCATCCTGGCCAACATGGTGAAACCCCGTCTCTACTAAAAATAAAAAAAAATTAGCCTGGCTTGGTGGTGTGCACCTGTAGTCCCCAGCTACTCGGGAGGCTGAGGCAGGAGAATTGCTTGAACCCGAGAGGCGGAGACTGCAGTGAGTCAAGATTGTGCCACTGCACTCCATCCTGGTGACAGAGTGAGACCCTGTCTCACAAAAAAAAAAAAAAAAAAAAAAAAAAAAAAAAGGAAGTGAGTCTTACATGGAAGAAAAGAAAAATAAATAATAATTAAGCAAACTGCACACCCTTCTCTCTCTCTAGGTACATAGGAATCTCAATATATCTGATAAAGTTTCCTACATGCACTCACCAAAAAAAAGAAGGTTGAAAAAATTTAAACAAATATCCCTATGCTCTCAAATGTGACTTGACTCTCCTATTTACTCAGCATTAAAACACTTCATGAAACAAAATTTGTTCTTTGACCAGTCTGAAATTTCTAATCTGCCTAAAAAATTGTAAGTAATTCTGACATTTACCCTTTAAAATTAAATAATGCCTTTTTGACAGAGAAGCATTTAAAAATGGGATTTCATTCCCCAATGTAACAGTATCCAGGATTTTAAAAAACATTTTAAATAGGAGATGCTCTTCCTACCTTCCTCCACAAAAGCCACACTTTAGCAAACGTTTTCAGCTGACTTTGGTTTATGCCATATTTTTCATATTTTCTTAGCTTAATCACAAATTTGTGTAAATTGAATCCAAGTATCAAACTAGAGATCATTTACAATACTTCATTTTATCCAACTGTAATTTTAGAAAAACTCTGAATTTTGTATTTTCTAGCTTGAGAAATGTTGATAATTTCTGCATTAAAATAGTTTCATAAAAAGGAAAGCACGCTATTTCAGAGAGCCAAATATTTTATCACACAACACAATATAAGCACATGTCTTACTATTGGATTTTCATCTTATTATACAAAAGACTCAAACATTTATAGCCCCTGACACGTTCTCTTCCCAAAAGAATCTCTTTCACCCAGTGTGCCTACTGCTTACCAAGCTCCAGATAACTCAAGTTCCTCAGAGCTATGAAAAGCAAGAAGAGGTTCAGGAAGAAAGGATAAGGGATAATAGTGGCCCTGTACCACAGCTATACAAATTTAAAAGGCATATATTTAAATTATTTGACCCCACAGTTCCATTACTAAAAATATTTACAAAAATATGTAAGATATTTTTATGTACAAAGATATTCATTACAGCAGTTTTTATTTGTAAGAACAAATACTTATGCTCCAGTCATGCTGGTCTTCTTTCTGTTCTTCGAACACACCAAGCTTATTCTTGCCTCAGAGCTTTTATCTTGCTATTATACTCTATGCCTAGAATTCTCTCTTCTAGATCTCTAAGCCATTTCTCTCATTATGCACGCCTTGCTCAAAAGTCATCTCTTAATAAAGGTTTTGCCTGGCCATCCCATCTAAAGTAGAAACTCTTTTCTCATCACATTACCTGCACTACTGCCTTCATGAAACTGATCTGTTTAGATTTTATTTCATTGTTTTTGATATATCTCAGTAACTTACATGTAAACAGGGCCCTTGATTTTTCTCCCCCATCTCTCTATCCTTAGAAGAGTATCTGGCATAAAATATGGACTCAGTAAACATTTGATGAACAGACAGGTGGATGGACAGGTGGAGGGACATGACTAGCAAGAAACTAGAACTAACATAAATGTCCGTCAATAGAGAACTGGTATAAATAAAATGTGGCTCAACCATATGGAAAACCTATATGGTTTATATCATAAATGCAAGAGATCTATATATACTATGTGTATACTATGAGCCAGACAATATTATAGGAGTTAGATATAAAATGGTGAATAAGACAAATAGATTTCCTATACAAATATATCCTCGGTCAAAACAATACAGGCACAAAGTATGGATAAATTAAAAACAGAAAAATTATACTCACATATATATACATGCTTGAATAGGCACATTATTTTTTTACAGAAGTATACATAAGAAACTATTACCAGTGGTTAGTCTGAAGAAAGGGCCTATGAGTTGGGGTGGGGAGACAGAGAGAATGAGGGAAAGAAACATTTATATTTCATTTTATATTTATAGGTATAATTTGGTTTTTTAATTGGGTGCATGTATTACTTCTAATTTAATAATTAAATATTTACAAATAATATGGAATTTAATAGGAAACCTTGAAGGACATTACATTACCACCGAGAGGCCCAAAATGAATAGAAAGACAGTGATCTTCATGACACCCTTGAAACTTTGAAAAAACTATTATTGCCTAATTAATCTTTTATAATTATACTTTGTTATGATTGATTGACTGCTTGCTTGCTGGCGTGTTTGCTTGGATTAACTAGACTAAAAAGTTCAAAATAAACTAATACATATGGCAAGAATGTCTTGGAATAGAGAAGTTCAAAATGTAAGAAAGAGTTTCTGAGAATTAAACAAATGTTTCTAAAAATCACATTTCTTAGTTCAGTTAGGGACTATTTACAATTGTCTCAGAATTCAGGAGTCTAAATTCAGGGTTCTAAAGTTTAAAAAATTTATAATGAAAATAAATTGTTTTGTATTATTACATTTTATGTCTATCACAGATAGTTCCCCTTTATGCTTCAGTGTTCAAAAAATTACCATGAAAAAAGACTAATTACATCCCATCATTGAAGGTCAATGTAACGGTTTCCGCCCACCTCCCCACCCCCACCCCCTCACCCCCACACCCTGCCGCACCCGTAATAGAGACCAGTCCTCACTATCTTGCCCAGGCTGGTCTCAAACTTCTGGACTCAAGCGATTCTCCCACCTCGGCCTCCCAAAGTGCTGGGATTATAGGCATGAGTCACTGAACCTAGCCTAATTTTATGTGTCAACCTGACTAGGCCATGGGCTGGCCAGATATTTACAAGCATTATTCTAGGTGTGTCTGTGAGGTTGTTTCTGGATGAGATTAACATTTGAATCAGTGTACTGGGGAAAGTGGACTGCCCTCCCTAATGTAGGTGGGCCATTTAATCATTCAAGGTCCTGAATAGAACAAAAAGACTGACCTCTAGAAAGCAAGAGGGATCTCCTTTTGCCTTACTGCCTTCAGCTGGGACATCAGTCCTTTACTGCCTTCAGACTATGAAATATTCACTCTTTTGGGGCTCAAGCTCAGTAGTCGTTAAACTGGAAATATACCATCAGCTCTCCTAGATCTCAGGCCTTCGAACTGGCACCAGAATTGCGCTACTGGCTCTCCAGGGTCATCAGCTTTCTGACTGCAGATCTTGGGACTTGTTAGCCTCCACAATCACATAGGTCAATTCTTATAATAAACCTGTGTGTGTGTGTGTGTGTGTGTGTGTGTATGTGTGTGTGTGTCACCTACTGGTAGTTTCTCTAAAAACTAACCATAAAAGGACATCAAATTAAGAGGAAATTAATACTTGGTGCTTCAAATATATGGCTTCCACATTTTCAAAATTTGGAGGGTAAGACAATACACTATTTTGAATACTGCAGTAGTCTTTAGTGCCAGCTGCAAATGACACTTTGAGAATGAATATGGCACTGCAAAGCCTACTGATAAAAAGCAAAATTGTAAAACTAGTATTATTTTCAGAAGGTAATCGCATACCAGGATTTTCTAAAATATCCTGAAACGTTTTGCCCTAAGCAAAACTAAACTAAATCACTTAATCTAGCACAGAGCAGAATATAAAAACAAAGTCATCTTACAGAATAGTTTCTCCAAGGAACAAATAGCCTGTTTTCTTAAGATCCTTGTGGGTGCCAAGTTCTGACGCACTGATACACTCCTTCATACAAAGGTTTACATTTCCATACAGCCACCTGAAGTTCCTGGCAAATCAAAGCTGAAAATGTATTAGAGTAAGCTAAATTTATCTATAATGACAACTGTGATAAGTAGCCACTTGAAATCAAACAAAAGAATAGCTATCAGAAAATGTCTTTCAAAAATAAAGTTAAAAATAATCATTTAGGTCTTTAATTCATCATATATTATAATGCTTACTAACAGATTTTTCTCAAATTGAACAAAAACCATTTAGCGATTTTCCATATTTTCTGTAGTTTAACAATAAATACTAACAAAGAAGACCTTAACAAACAGAGGCATATACGGAAGAATAAATATATCCTAATAACAAGCCATACTTTGAGTTTTAAACATGTAATGACAATTTTATAATTGAGCCATAATTGCACACTACACTCCAGCCTGGGCGACAGAGTAAGACATGTCTCAAAGAAACACCAAAAAATACAATATTTATCTATGTAATTTGCTAAAATTACTGTAGTAATCAATCCCAAAGGACAGTGCTGCATGCAACCTACGTACTTCATTTTTAAAAACTGTAATATTAAAGTCAGCTTACAGGTTATAGAATACAATTACTAGAAGTGAAGATTTTAAAGATAGTAAAATAAATTAGACTTATAGTTCCAATTTCTTGTTCATTATCAAGAATGTCACAGCCTCCTCCATTAATTTTTCTGAGAAACTACAAAAGCTGATTTAATTTCTTGAGTCATTCTTAATAAATGTTTTCATTAATGAAAAGCATGTAGTAAAAATATGATCCCAAAACAGATGTTCCATAACATGGGATAAAAATGCATTATGAAAAGAAAAAATAAAACAAGCTGAACTATACATACAAATTTCCTTGAAGAAACAATTAGTTTTATTCTTCCTGCAACTTAAAATTATAATTTCAACTATAAATTTTATGTAAGTGTTGTACTCTTTTTTTTACCACATTATAGTTTCTTAGGATCCAGAAATATATGTTCAACTACAAATTTGTTTCTGAAGACACATTTTTTTAAAAGCTATCTCAAAATGACAAATCAACTGAGCTAAAAATATTATCTATAAAATTAATACTAATACAGTTGCACAGTGTTTCTGTCCAAGTATTAAGTAAATTAAGCAGGCCAGGCGCGGTGGCTCACGCCTGTAATCCCAGCACTTTGGGAGGCTGAGGTGGGTGGATCACAAGGTCAGGAGATCGAGACCATCCTGGCTAACATGGTGAAACTCCGTCTCTACTAAAAATACAAAAAATTAGCTGGGCATGGTGGTGGGCACCTGTAGTCCCAGCTGCTCAGGAGGCTGAGGCAGGAGAAAGGTGTGAACCTGGGAGGCAGAGTTTGCAGTGAGCCGAGCGCCACTGCACTCCAGCCTGGGCAACAGAGTCAGACTCCATCTCAAAAAAAAAAAAAAAAAAATTAAGCAATGTATGCTACTTTTGAAAGACTTCCCAAAAGACACTGATGACTTTTCATTTTTCATTAAAAAATAAATATATATATTACTTTTTTTTTGAGACTGGGTCTCATTCTGTTGCCCAGGCTGCAGAGCAGTGATGTGATCTTGGCTCACTGCAACCTCCAGCTCCCATGCTCAAGCAATACCCCTGCCTTGGCCTCCTGAGTAGCTGCACCACTGGTATGAGCCGTCACACCCATCTAATTTTTTTTTTTTTTTTTTGTAGAAGTGGGGTTTCACCGTGTTGCCCAGACTGGTCTTGAACTCCTAGGCTCAAGCGATCACCAGAGTCCACCTTCCGAAGTGTTGGGATTACAGGCGTGAGCCACTGCACCCGGCCCTGAATAGCACTTCTTTCAAGAAAGTTTCATCTCTATGATGTGGTGATTTATATAACATAATCATGATTACTACCTGCAAAATGGCTGTATGACTAACCTGACATTTTATATTATTAATTAGTTAAGAAAATCTTCTCTCAAATTCAAATAAAATGAAGGGAAACCAAAACTGAATATTTATCCTGTCATAACTATTAAAACTATTACAAAAAGACAAACATTATATGCCTCCTGAGGGAAGTTTGTTTCACTAATAAGTATTATCCTGGGGTGAGAATGGGAGCTGGGGGGAAAAGAGCAGGATTCACAGGACAGGTAGAATATGGGATATATATGAAACAAGATTAACTAACACAAACCATGAAGGATAACTGTCAAACTTGGGTAATACATACATAGGCATTGTGATTCTATTTCTCTATTTTTGTGTATGTTTGCAATCGTTTATAACAAACAGTTAAAACATGTATTGCAAAATAAAAGAGAATATACAGCATTTACTTTCTTGTAAAATTCATTGAATAATTATTTCACAGAAGGGAGAAGATAGTGTTTGCCTGTAACTCTCAGCTGCTTTGGCGACCAAGGAAGGAGGATCACTTGAGTCCAAGAGTTCAAGGTTACAATGAGCTATGATCGCGCTATTGTACTCCAGCCTGGGTAATAGACTGAGACTCTGTGTCTAAGAGAAGAAAAAAATTTCAAAATTTCAAAAAAAACAAGCTCAAAACGAAGAAAGGGAAATGTTCACATACCAAAACAAACCATAACAGTCAGTGAGCAGGACTTAACCAAGCAGTCCACGAGAATATGGAGACCA
Organism: Homo sapiens; assembly: GCF_000001405.40. NCBI lineage: Eukaryota > Metazoa > Chordata > Mammalia > Primates > Hominidae > Homo > Homo sapiens. Next base: position 37,237,847 of record NC_000014.9, on the reverse strand, counting down.
AACTGGCTCAAGGGTTAGAGTTCAACTACACAGATTCTCTCCTTCCTTAAACAGCAATCACATATCTCTGAGCACCTGCACAGTGTCTTAGCCAGACACAAACCACCCACCAAGTTGGGTGCAAAAGTTAACTACTTAAGATCAAAACTTCAAGGTGGCATGATCATTTAAGGTCAGGAGTTGAAGACCAGCCTGAGCAACACAAGACCCAGCCTCTACAAACAACAACAATAAAACTTTTTTTAAAAAGTCAAAGGGGGAGATGTTAGCAAAATAGTGGACTAGAAAAATGTATGCTCTTGTTATCCCAGAGAGAATTTTTTAAAAAACCAAAGCAGAAACTGTCTGAACCAACTTTGCTGGCTGGAGCTATAGAAAATAGTCAAAGGTTTACAGCAACCAAAAAAAAACATCAAATCAAGAAAAAGTCATCTTCAAAATGATAGCACAGTATTATATGGCTTTATTCACTTGCTCTTCCCCCATCCCCTACCTGGTGCAGTGGGAGTCTTGTACTTGAAGCAGTTCCCTCCCTCTAACTAGAGGGAGCAGAGTAGATCTGATAGACAAATTGTTGTGCATGTCTGTGCTGACCTGTCTAGGGGATATTTAAGGACTGACACAAGGCACTCCTCTGTTTCACCTAGCTCAGAACTCAGGTAGGAAAAGTGGCAGGTACTGCTTGTACAGGCTGCAAAGTGACAACAGATCCACAGAGACCCAGGCCAAGAAATGACTGGGGAAGACATATGACAGACCATCTATGGCCTGAAAGAGAAGCTGGAGCAAGACTTTCTGGGAAATTAACACGTGACCACATGACAAGCAGCCAAGTATACCAGGGAATCTAGAAAGCCCGCACATGCCCAGGCAAGAGGCATTCCCAGAAAAGACCTGAGATCTTAAACTTTCACCTCAGGATGATCCCCTGGATCAGATTAAGCCTAACTAAGGGCTAAAGGAGTGTCCCAGCACAAAGCAATTTGCAAAGACTGAAAGAGGCCTTGGCATTCAAGAAAAACTCTATAAACACATTAGCTGAACATGAGCTAAAGGAACAGCTGTCACTGATCACACACAACAAGGAACAGAGTGCACAAATAATTTGGAGGCCAGGCGTGGTAGCTCACACCTGTGATCCCAGCACTTTGGGAGGCCGAGGCAGATAGATCACCTGAGGTCAGGAGTTCAAGACCAGCCTGCCCAACATAGAGAAACCCCGTCTCTACTAAAAATACAAAAAATTAGCCAAGCATGGTGGGGCATGCCTGTAGTCCCAGCTACTCAGGAGGCTGAGGCAGGAGAATCGCTTGAACCCGGGAGGCAGAGGCTGCAGTGAGCCGAGATTGCACCAATGCACTCCAGCCTGGGCGACAAGGGTCTCAAAAATAATAATAATAATAATTTAGAAAAGCCTCAAAAGAAACACACTACTACAGCCTTCAATAGACAAAAAAAGTGGGAGGGGGGCTTGATTAGACATTTCTCCAAAGAAGACATACAAATGGCTAATACACACATGAAAAGATGCTCAACATCATGAGCTATTAGAGAAATCTATGTTAAAACCACAATGACATATGACTCATACCCAGCAAGATGACTATTATCAAAAAATTGAGGCCAGGCGCGTAATCCTAGTGTCTGTAATCCTAGCAGTTTGGGAGGCCAAGGTGGGTGGATTGCCTGAGCTCAGGAGTTCGAGACCAGCCTAAGCAACACAGTGAAACCCTGTCTCTACTAAAATACAAAAATTAGCTGGGCATGGTGGCATGCGCCTGTAATCCCAGCTACTCAGGAGGCTGAGACAGGAGAATCATTTGAACCCGGGAGGCGGAGGTTGCAGTGAGCCGAGATCGTGCCACTGCACTCTAGCCTAGGTGACAGAGCAAGAGTTCGTCTCAAAAAAAAAAAAAAATTGAAAATACTAAGCATTGGTAAGGTCATGGAGAAACTGGAACCCTTGTGTATTGCTGGTAGGAACGTAAAATGATACAAAAGGACAACTACTTTATGATTCCACTTATATGAGGTCCCTAGAATAGGCAGATTCATAGAGATAGAAAGTAGAATAGAGGTTATCAGGAGCCAGGGGAGGGGCAATATGGAGATACTGCTTAATGGGTACAGAGTTTCTGCTTGAGATGATGAAAAGTTCTGGAAGTTACTAACAGTAACGTTTCTACAACATTGTGAATCTACTTAATGCCACTGAACTATCCACTTAAGACGGTAAAATTTATGTTATGTACATTTTATGATACACATACACACAAACAAGAATGAATCCTACCTGTGATTAATAAATAGTCCTCTAACAGTTAGAGGACTATTATTATAAGAATTAGAGTCTAACTATACCACACACCCATACAAAGTCAATAGTAATTCCTTGAAGATGGGCTCAAACCTATGGTTCTTGACCTGTATGTCAAGGATTCCCTAACACTGCAGCAAACACAGAGGGATTAAATATTTTAAATTTTCAAGAGAAGCAATGACATCTGTTGAACACTATGTGAACTACTAGTTCAAGAAGGTTCACTGTTGGATCATTAGATCTCACTACATTGTATTCAATGAATTCATATCTTTACAAATCTGGATTTACAGCACTTACTGGGATAAAAAGCAAGTAGCATGCAAAAATCAGTATGGAACAAGAGAGAACAATAGCTCAGAAGCAGCATAAAAATATTAAGACACTAAGGGCATCATGAAAAAAAGTTTGGGAACATAGGCTTTAAGAATTCAGCTGGCTGGGCACAATGGCTCACGCCTGTAATCCCAGCACTTTGGGAGGCCAAGGCAGGCGGATCACAAGGTCAGGAGATCAAGACCATCCTGGCTAACACGGTGAAACCCTGTCTCTATGAAAAATACAAAAAAAAAAAAAAAAAAAAAATTAGCCGTACGTGGTGGTGGGCGCCTGCAGTCCCAGCTACTCGGGAGGCTGAGGCAGGAGAATGGCCTGAACCCATGAGGCGGAGTTTGCATGGAGTCGAGATCGTGCCGCTACACTCCAGCCTGGGTGACAGAGTGAGACTCCGTTTCAAAAAAAAAAAAGAATTCAGCTAAGTGGACCACATTAGACCTCTATCAGTACTGCAGGGACCAATAAATGAGTAGTAACTAGAATGGAAGCCTACTATATTTTAGGCTTTGCTAACACTTTAACAAAAGCAACTGTCAGGAATTAAATTAAAGGTTTGGGTCCAGGTGTGGTGCCTCATGCCTGTAATACCAGCACTCTGGGAGGCTAAGACAGGAGAATTACTTGAGGCCAGGAGTTAAAGAGCTGCCTGGGTAACATAGCCAGACCTCATCTCTACAAAAAATTTAAAAATTAAAAATTAAGGCAAAGCATGGTGGCTCATGCCTGTAATACCAGCACGTTGAGATGCCAAGGTGGGTGGATCACTTGAGCCTAGGAGTTCGAGGCCAGCCAGGGCAATACAGCAAGATCCCACCTGAAAAAAAAAAAAAGAAAAGAAAAGAAAAGAAAAAAAGAAGGGACCAGACAATATTGAAGATGAAGCTCACTGCAGCAGATTGTTCACCTCTATTTTCAAGAAAAAAAAAAATTGTCGTGACCATGCCCTAACTGAACAGGACCAATGATTAACAGCAGAAACAATAACTAACACCACAGACGTCTCAATGGAATCAGCTTACACAATTCTGATTGAAGAATAAACCTGAGCAAACTTTCTACCCGATGGGTGCCAAAACCATTGTACCCAGATCAGCTGCAGACAACAGCAGAGCTTTCAATGGAAATTTTAAATAAGTAGGATCAAGATCCTGAAGCATTTCTTTGAAGACTGTAACAGAGATAAACATGGTTTTATACCAGTATGATCCTGAAGACCAAGTCCAACCAAAGCAATGGCTACCAAAAAGTGAAAGTGGTCCAGTCAAAGCAAAAGTGGACTGGTCAAGAGCAAAGGCCATGGCAACAGTTTTTTAAGATGTTCGAGGCATTTTGATTGTTGACTTTCTAGAAGGCCAAAGAATGATAACATCTGCTTATTATGAAAGTGTTTTGAGAAAGTTAGCTAAAGCTTTAGCAGAAAAATGCCTAGAAAAGCTTCACCAGAGAGGCCTCCTCCCCCACAGCAATGCTCCTGCTCATTCCTCTCATCAAACAAGGGCAATTTTGTGAGAGTTCTGATGGGAAATCATTAAGTATTCACCTTATAGTCCTGATTTGGCTCCTTCTGACTTCTTTGTGTTTCCTAATCTTAAAAAATCTGTAAAAGGCATTCATTTTTCGTCAGCTAATGATGTAAAAATGACCGCACTGACATGGTTAAATTCCTAGGACCCTCAGTTCTTTAGGGATGGACTAAATGGCTGGTATCATTACCAACAAAAGTGTCCTGAACTTGATGACACTTATGTTGAGAAATAAAGTTTATATTTTTTATCTTTTAATTCCATTTTTCCATAAACTTTTTGAAGCCTCCACATATAGAATAAACTTTTTGAAAAAGTTAAAGGTTTCTGAAAAAATATGAAAGTTAAATACAGCCAACTGACTTCTTCTTGGGGCCAATTTATATTTAAATTGCACTCAGGCCACAAGTACCTGATGTTAACCTAACCTTTGTAGTGTCTGTATTACAAACACTGGCCCCAACAATCAAAGAATGACTGGAAATTTTAGGGAGTATTGAATTACTGAATCAAGCCCAAATGGTGTTTTCAGTAGCATTTCATCACAATAAAATACACGTGTTACCCCAAATAGTGACACTAGAGGGTGCTCTCTTCCAAAAGACTGGTCAAGACTGGCATCAATTTAAAAAGATGAAGCCATACATGCATGGAGTGGATGCCTCACTAAGCTGATGAAACAGTATACACCTCAGCTACACTGGAGAAGACTTATATACTCACTTAGGATGACTACTGAATAGTTTAATCACTGTATAATCTGGGAATTTTAGAGTGGCCAGATTTTAATCTTTCTGCCTTGGCAGCATGATATAGCAATGGGATTGCAGGTTCATTAAAAGAAGTAAATGAAAATCAAATTTGCTTGATCTCCAGAATTAGAAAATATGTTGGCAGGCTGATTTAAAGGCCCCAACTGACATGATACTTATGAAAAATTGAGGAAAAAAAGTGAATTTGGTCTTAGAAAAGTGACACATGCAAGTAAATGCCTCCATCAATACTATAAAAAGGTACAAGTATTGCTGAAAGAGAAGAACAAATAATAGTCAAAATGGTAAGAGGATATTAAAAGGTACAAGTATGTGTTGACAGAAGAGGAAAAAGAATAGTCAGAAGGGTAAGATGACATTAGAAGACTTGTGAAGAGATATAGTTGCAATTTCCATTTTCCCATTGGATGGCTCAAGTCCTGGTGATCATTGGAATACTAGTATGTTTCTCCTTTTATATAAAATATTGAGAAAAAATGTGAGACAAATTATAAAAAGATGACTGAACATGTGTAGCAAGATACTAATAAGGGACAGAGAGTACACTGTGAAGAAAACAGTTAAGCTGATCTATACCTTAACCAAAACTCCTTATAAACCCTGATGTATAAAATTTATTAGCTGAGTGATAATTCTTCAATTAGTAACTTCTTTTATAACTTCTATTTTCTAGGTATTACTTGTATTCACAGTGTGTCTTTATAACATTGTATACTATAAAACAGTATACATTAGGTACACTGCAGAAGTCAAGCATGATTTATATGCCAAACAATAATAAAATATTTTTTATTTTTTATTTTAATTTTTTTTAGAGACAGTGTTTGGCTCTGTCATCCAGGCTGGAGTGCAGTGGTGTGGTCATAGCTCACTGCAGCCTCAAATTCCTGGGCTCAAGTGATCCTCCCACCTCAGCCTCCTGAGTAGCTTAGACTACAGGCACATACCACCATATCCGGCTACTTTTGTAAAATTTTTTGTAGAGATACGATCTCCCTATGTTGCCCAGGCTGTTCTTTAACTCCTGGCCTCAAACGAGGCTCCCACCTCAGCCTCCTAAAGTGCTAGGATAACAGGTGCGAGCCACTACTCCCGGCCTGTAGGGCTTTTATTCAGTTTTCTCACACCTCTTTGATAGTAATTTTTTTTTAGTGATTAACCTTTACTGATTGTTCCAAAACATTCATCTTAGTTTTCCTAGAGAGAATGCTTTTTATAATGAAATTTCCATTAGCTTACTTTAATATAATTATATAATTATGATCACAGATACAATTAGCATAAACAGGTTTGAGAACAAACACACCTGATACTACTTTTTAAGTAGAGAAATCAACTGGTAAATGCAGAAGTATCTACAAGACATTCATCTATTAGCCTTAGTATCAAGCACACCATAGAAATCAGTCAGTATGTTAATATCAGTGGGAATGCAGAACTTCCATTATTTTGGCAAATCATTGAGTGCAAGCCATTTAAAATAATTTCAACTGTATATTGAAAATATTAGCTGGGCACAGTGGCTCATGCCTGTAATCCCAGCACTTTGGAAGGCCAAAGCAGGAGTCCTGCTTGAGGCCAGGAGTTTGAGACCAGCCTGGGAAACACAGGGAGAATCCATCTCTATGAAAAATAAAAACATTAGCTGGGCATGGTGGTGAGTGCCTGTAGTCCTAATTACTCCAGAGGCTAAGGTGGGAGGATCGCTTGAAACCAGGAGTTTGAGGCTGCAGTGATCACACCACTGCACTCCAGCCTGGGCGATACAGCAAGACCTTGTCTCAAAAATAATAATAATAATACTAATAAAATCTTTTACATTTTCTTGGTCATTAGAGTACTGACTCAAAGTGTAAGGACAGACCAATAAAAACTCACTAACTCCACCAATCAACTGTACACATTCTCCACAGATAACCGGAAAATAACATATAGATAGATAGATAGAGATATATGGAATAAAATTATATTTTGCCTCTAGTTACATAATGAATAGGTAAAATATTGAATTGTACTACATATTGGTTTACTTAAGTTTAATATTATTATCTCATCGGCTGCATTCCCTTGTTTGCCATGCAGTAGCACAATATCATTAGTATACAGCGCCACCTACTGGAGAAATAGACTCACTTTGCAAAGCTTATATATCAGTCCTTTTTATTAATTTTGCAGTAAACCTAACAAAACTGACTTTTAGAAAACCCAGCTTTTCATCTATAACATGTAATTACCCACATTTTTCCTAACCAAGATTCTGACCAAAATTTCTCATTTGATAAGTAATATTTATGAATACTTGGGATTTCTTCAACATCTTATAAAATTTTCCCATAGGAAAAAGAAAAGTGGCAGCTGATTTCTCCAAGGAAAAACTTAGTATTCACGCTGTCCCTTTAAGGAAGATGATAAAATATACAAAGCTACTCCACAAGATAGAGATATGGAGCAACACCCTGCAAGCATCACTGTAAAACTCTCTTCAAAGTTCCACTGGTCACAATAACAAACAGCTAGAGACATATACAAAAGCAGAAGCAGCGTTTCTCAACACTTTGTTGACCTTTTCCTATTAATAAATAACATAGCAAAACTTTTTTTATTTCTTAAAAATTCGGTGAAAATTTTTAGTCCTGTTAGAGCAGGTTTAAGATTATCAAAATTCACCTCTTAATAATGATTTTTAAATGCATATTTATGTATCTTGACAAGTCACAATTGTACATATTTATGCACAACATGTTGTTTTGAAATATACATTGTGGAATGGGTGCATCAAGCTAATTAACATATGCATTATCTCACATGTCTTTTTTGTGGTGAAAACACAAAATCTACTCTCTTAGCAATTTTTAAGAATATAATACATTGTTATTAACTGTAGTCACCATGTTTTACAATAGCTCTCTTGAACTTATTCCTCCTGTCAAACCGAAATTTTGTCTCCTTTGACCAACATCTCCCCAATCACTCCCATCCCCAACCTTTAGCCCCTGATAACCATCATCTTCCTATTTCTAAATCCAACTTTTTTAGATTCTACATATAAATGAGACCATGCAGTCTTTTTGTAACATATATAGTTTTAATGTAAAAATATTTTAATCCTTAATGTAACTAAACTTTGAGTCAAACCCCATTTTTGAATCATGACAAAAAGTATGTAAATTTAATTTAATAAAAGCCCCTAAAATCAATCACCAGCATAAAGAGGTATATAATCAGTAGTGACCGTAACAGATTTTTCCTCCTAATAGTTTTATTTCTACATCGCTGCATAAACTCAATATGGAATTTAAGTATATATCTCTTCATGTTGTTGACTTAATTTAATAATGTTAATTGGTCTGCTACTCTGTAATGTTAATTCATATAACCAATGGGCTTTTTGGGTTTTGTTTTGTTTTTTGGTTAGTTTAGTCTTAGTGGCAAAAATGAATAATGGGCTTGGCTGGGTGCAGTGGCTCACACCTGTAATCCCAGCACTCTAGGAGGCCAAAGGCAGATAGATCACTTGAATCCAGGAGTTTGAGACCAGCATAAGCAATATGGCAAAATCTCGTCTCTACAAAAAATACTAGCTGGGTGTGGTAGCACACGCATGTAGTCCCAGCTACTTGGGGGCTGCAGTAAGAGATCACTTGAGCCAGGGAGGAGGTTACAGTGAGCTGAGATCACACCACTGCAGTCTAGCCTGGGCAACAGAGTGAGACCCCGTCTCAAACACATACACACACAAATTAATCTTTTAATAATATTTATAAATTTAACAATGCACTCATTCATGTCTCTAGTGCCTGTTTTGCACAATACCTAGAAAAGTATATATATGTTTAAATAAGCTATATACAGTAAAGATGTTTGATGAAATTGTTGACTTATTTTAGAAACTTTACCATTTTCAATCTATTAACTTTTCTTTATTGGTCAGGATACTTATTTTACCAAATCAAATCTATTCATTTATTTAGAGACAGGGTCTCACTATGCTGACAAGGCTGGTCTCAAACTCCTGGCCTCAAGCAATTCTCCCGCCTTGTCCTCCCAAAGTGCTGGGATTACAAGTATGAGCCACTGTGCCTGGCCACAAATTGTTTTCAGTATTTCTTCTTTTGGGTGCCTTGCAACACTAATTACACACGAAAAATGTGAAGCAAAGTATTTTTGATAAGTTGATTTTTTAATTATTGTTTCAGACCTTTAACCCAACCTGAAGAGAGAAGATAAAGATAGTATCAGTGGTTGAAAGAAAGATAATTTGCTTCCTAAAGAAAGAACTACATTTCATAGGTAACCCAATACAAAGTTTTCTGCTATTCTCTGGGTCATGGTGCCATCATGTCACTACCATCATCCCTAGACCCTAGCAATAAACTGTTTGTTCTATTTACGAGGACAAGAAACTAAACGGTTTTTTAGGTAAGGTAAGGTTGGAGTTTTTGTCCTAAAAATGTTTTAATCAGAAGTCAGGAAGGTGTCCAGTTCCCCTTAAGACAATGAACTGCAAAAGGCTGTCAGTTCTCTTCCCCAAAATCCACCTGGAACTACTAAAAAAAAAAAAAAAAAAAAAGAAAAGAAAGAAATCATTGACCTGAGGAACCAACCAAAAACTTCAAGAAATCTGTGTCAACTGTCTTGAAATAGGGTTGGGGGCCACCTCAGGTGAAAGGTAGACACTGGTGATGCTGAAAGAATAGGTGAGAGAAAAATGTGTAATGTGTATGGTTCTTAAGTCCCTGATGTTGCCTTAGGTCAATCATTGTCTGTCCCACCAATACAGAAATCCACAGCAATAGCCCAAGCAGCAAGTGCCAAATGGTACTGTCAAGGCAGGGTAAAAATCTTGCTGGAGTAATGAAAAGAGATGAGATCTAACCATCATTTCCTCTTCTACTCTATCCCTTTCCAAATCCCCATCCTAGTTGGATTATAACCATAGCAGTTCCTATTAAATGTGCAGGAAAATCATATTTCCTAGCCTTATTTATATTTTGGTCACTTGAATTGTAGACAAAGTAGTGTGGGCAGATGTGATACAAGCGAATTTCAGGACTTACCATTAAAGGCATTCTATGAGCTCCTTTAGCCTTCTCTTCTCCCACAACAACCTTGAGAACCTTGCGATGGTGGCATCACAAGATAGAAGGAGCTTTAATCTCTAAGCCAAACTCTGTATGAGTGAAACACCAAAAATTATTTGGGTGTTATAAGTGCAAGATAGTCTCTCCTATCCTGGTACACAACTTAAAGAGATTGCCAGCCTACTTCCCTCAATGCTGACTAAAGGAGTTCCTTGTTGCAATAACAACAAATGTCAACAGTGATTCTGTGGTGCCTGAGACTCAATAACCTCCAGCTCACCCCACTTCCACTTGTGAAAATACACACACACATACACACACACAAACACACACACCACACACTTCATGTTTTAGACCTTGGATGTGTCTCTGTTCTGCTGCACCACCATTTCCAAACCCCAGATATGAGGAGAGATAGTATACAATGACTCTGTATAGGTTAAATAATTAACTACACTTAAAAAAATTCAAATTATTGAATACATGAATAGACTATACAGTGTTAATTGATCACCTCTTTGGGGGAAATGCACCATTTCATTTGAACAGCAAGCAGTCTCTAAGAAGCAGGAAAAGGCAAGAAATAGATTCTCCCTAAGAGATGCTAAAAATCCCCAGCCCTACTGCCATTTTCATTTTAGCCCAGTGAAAATTATTTCACATTACTGACCTCCAGAACCGTAAGATAATAAATTTGTGTTGTTTTAAGCCACCCAATTAGTGATTTTTTACAGCTGTTACAGCAGCAGTAGGAAACTAATACATATGCCTTATGAGTTCCCTAGCTCTCACAGCACCTCATATATTCAGAGACATTTTCAGCTTCTTACAAAACAAATTCAAAAGAGGCAGCATCACAGTCAAGAATTAACTGGACACTGAATTCTTAATAATCAGGAAGCTGCCAAAAATCTTATCTCCAAACTCCCAAGGAGTATTTCTCACACTACCCAGAAAGGAGTCCTAAGCCAGCATGTTAGCTGAAAGGTAAAACACTTTCCCTTTTTTTTTGAAATAGGATCTCACTCCACTGCCCAGGCTGGTGTGCAGTAGTGCAACCATGGCTCACTGCAGTCTTGAACTCCCAGGCTCAAGCAATCCTCCCATCTCAGCCTCCTGAGTTACTGGGACTAAAGGCATGCATGCACCACCACACCCAGTGATATGGTTTTGCTGTGTCCCCACCCAAAAGTCATCTTGAATTGTAGCTCCGATAATTCCCTCATGTTGTGGGAGGGACCCAGTGGGAGAAAATCGAATCGTGGGGGTGGTTTCCCCCATACTGTTCTCGTGGTAGTGAATAAGTCTCATGAGATCTGATGGTTCTATAAGGGGGAACCCCTATTGCTTGGCTCTCACTGTCTTCTCTTGTCTGCTGCCTTGTGAGACGTGCCTTTCATCTTCTACCATGATTGTGAGGCCTCTCCATCCACGTAGAACTGTGAGTCCACCACATGGAACTGTGAATCCATTAAACCTCTTTCTTTTGTAAATTGCCCAGTCTTGGGTGTGCCTTTATCAGCAGCATGAAAGCAGACTAATACAGCAAATTACTACCAGCAGAGTGGGGTGCTGCTGTGGATACCCAAAAATGTGGAATCAACTTTGGAACTGGGTAATACTCAGGGGTTGGAACAGTTTGCAGGGGTCAGAAGAAGACAGGAAAATGTGGGAAAGTTTTGAGCTTCCTAGAGACTTGTTGAATGGCTTTGCCCAAAATGCTGACAGCAATATGGACAATAAAGTCCAGGCTTAGGTGGTCTCAGATGGAAATGAGAAACTTGTTGGGAACTGGAATAAAGGTGACTCTTGTTATGTTTTAGCAAGAGGCTAGAGGCATTTTGCCACTCCCTAGAGATTTGTGGAACTTTGAACTTGAGAGAGATGATTTAGGGTGTCTGGCGGAAGAAATTTCTCAACAGCAAAGCATTCGAGAGGTGACTTGGGTGCTGTTAAAGGCATTCAGTTTTATAAGGGAAGCAGAGCATAAAAGTTCAGACAATTTGCCGCCTGACCACATGATAGAAAAGAAAATCCCATTTTCTGAGGAGAAATTCAAGCCGACTGCATAAATTTGCATAAGTAATGAGGAGCCAAATATTAATCCCCAAGACAATGGGGAAAATGTCTCCAGGGTATGTCAGAGGTCTTCACAGCAGCTGCTCCCACTGCAGACCCGGAGGCCTATGAGGAAAAAGTGGGTCAGCCACAGGGGTCCTGTGCTGTGTGCAGCCTAGGGACTTGGTGCCCTGTGTCCCAGTTGCTCCAGCCATGGCTGAAAGGGGCCACCATAGAGCTCAGGCCATGGCTTCAGAGGGTGCAAGCCTCAAACCTTGGCAGCTTCCATGTGGTGTTGAGCCTGCAAGTGCATAGAAGTCAAGTATTGGGGTTTGGGAACCTCTGCCTAGATTTCAGAGGATGTACGGAAATGCCTGGATGTCCAGGCAGAAGTTTGCGGCAGGGTGGGGCCCTCATGGAGAACCTCTGCTAGGGCAGTGCAGAAGGGAAATGTGGGGTCAGAGCCCCCACACAAAGTTCCTACTGGGGCACCACCTTGTGGAGCTGTGAGAAAAGGGCCACCATCTTCTAGACCCTAAAATGGTGTAAGTACTGACAGCTTGCACCATGTGCCTGGAAAAGCTGCAGACACTCAATGCCAGCCTGTGAAAGCAGCTGGGAGGGAGGCTGTACCCTGCAAGAACACAAGGGCAGAGCTGCCCAAGACCATGGGAACCCACCTCTTGCATCAGCGTGACCTGGATGTGAGACATGGAGTCAAAGGAGATCATTCTGGAACTTTAATATTTGACTGCCCCACTGGATTTTGGGCTTGCATGGGGCCTGTAGCTCCTTTGTTTTGGCCAATTTCTCCCCTTTGGAATAGCTGTATTTGCCCAATGCCTATACCCCCTTTATATCTAGAAAATAACTAATTTGCTTTCGATTTTACAGGCTCATAGGCAGAAGGGACTTTCCTTGTAACAGTTAAGGCTTTGGACTGTGGACATTTGAGTTAATGATGAAATGAGTTAAGGCTTTGGGGGACTGTTGAGAAGGCATGCTTGGTTTTGAAATGTGAGAACATGAGATTTGGGAGGGGCCGGGGTGGAACGATATGGTTTGGATGTGTCCCCACCCAAATGTCATCTTGGATTATAACTCCCATAATTCCCTCATGTTGTAGGAGGGACTCAATGGGAGATAATTGAATCATGGGGGTGGTTTCCCCCATACTGTTCCAGTTGTAGTGAATAAGTCTCACAAGATCTGATGGTTCTATAAGGGGAAATCCCTTTCACTTGGCTCTCACTGTCTTCCCTTGTCTGCCACCATGTGAGATGTGCCTTTCACCTTCCACCACGATTGTGAGGCCTCTCCATCCTCATGGAACTGTGAGTTCACTAAACCTCTTTCTTTTGTAAATTGCCTGGTCATGGGTATGTCTTTATCAGCAGCATGAAAGTGGACTAATACACCCAACTACTTTTTAAATTTTTGGTAAAGATGGGGTCTTGCTATGTTGCCCAGGCTGGTCTCAAACTGCTGGGTTCAAGCAATCCTCCCACCTCAGCCTCGCAAAGTGCCGGGATTACAGACATGAGCCACCACACCTGCCTGGTAAAACACTTTCTAAACAGAGTTCTCTTTCACTCAGTCACTTCCTATAACCAGTTCAGAGATGATTCATGTAGAATCATAAAATAAATATTTAGATACAGGTGCTGCCATTTATTAACACTGTAACCTTTGAGAAGTCACTTATTTTTCCTGCTTTAGGGAACTGAGGAGATAAATGGTCATCAAAATGCTAGATTTCACAACCTAGTAAAATCTCCAAAATAAAACTGTTGCCAAGTTTGTATTTTTCATAAAGGAAGGACTTTAAAAAGAAGGAGCAGTTACCATCTGTAAAAACCAGCCTCTCCTAAATTAAAGAACATTTTAGCAGTACATAATTTCAAAGACAGCCCTTTAAATTTAATAAATTTAACTTTGTAAAAAACACCCAGGAGGGGCCAGGCAGGGCGGCTCACGCCTGTAATCCCAGCACTCTGGGGGACCGAGGTGGGCAGATCTCCTGAGGTCAGGAGTTCAAGACCAGCCTGGCCATGGTGAAACCCCATCTCTACTAAAAATACAAAAAATTAGCCGGGCGTGGTGGTACATGCCTGTAATCCCAGCTACTTGGCAGGCTGAGGCAGGAAAATCGCTTGAACCCAGGAGACAGAGGTTGCAGTGAGCCGAGATCGCGCCATTGCACTCCAGCCTGGGCAATGAGAGTGACACTCCATCTCAAAACAAACAAACAAACAAAAAACCCAGGAGGATCCTGAAAAATATTGTGGTAGAGGCAGTATAGTTTTTGAAACTCCTCATATGTCTATACAGAGCAACCAGGATAGGAGACCCAAACCCATAAACAAAATATTATATTTTTAAATATTAAATATTAATATCTACCACAAAACTAAGTAAACACCAGGCCAGGCACGGTGGCTCATGCCTGTAATCCCAGTACTTTGGGAGGCCGAGGTGGGTGGATCTCTCAAGGTCAGGAGTTCAAGACCAGCCCGGCCAACATGGTAAAACCCCAGGTCTACAAAAAATAGAAAAACCAGCCAGGTGTGGTGGCGCATGCTTGTAATCCCAGCTACTTGGGAGACTGAGGCAGGAGAATCGCTTGAACCCAGGAGGTGGAGTTTGCGGTAAGCTGAGATCACATTACTGCACTCCAGCCTGGGCAACAGAGCGAGACTCTGTCTCAAAGGGAAAAAAAAGTAAGTGTGGCCCTCTCTGTCTCACTTTCACCCTTGCTTGCCTTTCCACCTTCTACCTTCCACCATAGATGAAGACCCTCTCTTTATAAATTACCCAGCCTGTGGTATTTGTTATAGTAGCACAATACCAAGGAGTAGGGCTGTTGCTATATAACAAATATCTGAATATCTGAACGTAGTTTTGGAACTAGGTAATGGGTAGAGGCTGGAAATATTTGGAGGAACAGGCTAGAAAAAGCTTAGATTGACATAAATGGAAAGCTTAGGACAATTCTGTTAAGGGCTCAGAAGATGAGCTGTAGGCCAAGTTTGAAACTTCTTACAAATAACTTAAGAGATCATGATTAGAATCTTGGTAGAAATATGGACAGTAAAGGCTATTCTGATGAGGTCTCAGATAGAAATGAAGAACAAGGTATTGGAAACTTGAGTAAAGGCAATCCTTGTTATAAAGTTGCAAAGAACTTGGTTTAATTATGTCCATGCCCAAAAGGCTTTATGGAAGGCAGAATTTAAGCTCAATGCACTAAGATATCTGGCAGAAGAAATTTCTAAGCAAAATACTGAAGGAGCTGCATGGTTACTTTCAACCAATCTGGGCAACATAGAGAGCTATAACCTCTATAATAAGTTAAAAAAAAAAAAAAAAAGCCAGGTGTGTTGATGCATGCCTGTAGTCCCAGCTACTCAGGAGGCTGAGGTGGGAGGATCACTTGAGCCCAGGAGGTCCAGGCTGCAGTGAGTTGTGATTGTGCCACCGCACTCCAGCCACCTGGGAGACAGAGCGAGACCCAATCTCAAAAAAAAAAAAAAAGCAATGTTTTCGCTGTTAGGTTTTGGACTTAATTGGGACCAGTTATCCCTTTCTTCTTATCTATTTCTCTGTTTTGTAACAGTAATGTCTCTCCTATACCTTTGCCACTTGTATTTAAAAAGCATATAGCTTGTTAATTTCACAGACTCACAGTGGGAGAGGAATCTGTCTTGGGATGATAGCACCTTGAGTTTCAACTGTATCTGATTTGTTTGTTTATTTATTTATTTATTTATTTATTTTTCTATTTGATTTCAATAAGACTGGAGTTTGGACTTTTGAGTTTATGCTGGAACAACTTTTGGGGCTGCTGTTTATGAGAAGAACATGAGTTTTGTGGAATGAGGAGCAAAATGCCATGGTTTGAATGTCCCCTCCAAAACTCATATTCAAATTCAACTGCCATGTGATATGGTTTGGTTCTGTATCACCACCCAAATCTTACGTGCAACTGTAATCCTCAGTGTTGGAGGAGGGTCCTTGTGGAAGGTAATTAGTTCATGGAAGCAGACTTCCCATTTGCTGTTCTCATGAGAGAGAGTTCTCACGAGATCTGGTTGTTTTAAAGTGTATAGCACTTCACCCTTTCCTCTCTCTCTCTCTTGCTCCACAATGTGAAGATGTGCCTGCTTCCCCTTCACCTTCTACCATAACTGTTGGTTTCCTGAAGTCTCCCCAGCCATGCTTCCTGTACAGCCTTTGGAACTGTGAGTCAATTAAACCTCTTTTCTTCATAAATTATCCAGTCTCAGGTACCTCTTTATAGCAATGTGAGAACGGACTAACACACCACGTGACAGTATTAACAGGTGGGACTGTTAAAAGGTGATTAGGTCATGAGGGTTCCACCCTCATGAATGGATTAATAACATTATCACAAGAGTAGTTTTGTTCAATGGGCCTGCTCTTGTTCTCATCTTTCCACCTGTTGCCATGAGATGACAAGCACAAAGGCCCTTGCCAGATGCCAGCACTATGCTCTTGGACTTTCCAGTCTCCAGAACCATAAGTCAAATAAGTTTCTGCTCATGATCAGTTACCCAAACCGTGAGATTCTCTTATAGCAACACAAGATGAACTAAGGCAGGTACATTTACATGTAGAACCTGAGCTTCCAGAACCAACCTGTTAGTAATCATGAGACAAAATATTTTCAAATGAGATTTTAATTCTAAAAAAAAAAAAATTAACAAACAAAGCATAGGCATCTAAATATGTGTCGGTACGGCTTAGGCAACACAGCAAGACCCCATCTCTATGAAAAAACTTTTTTAAAACAATTAGCTGGGCGTGGTGGTGCACACCTGTATTCCTAGCTACTGAGGAGGCTGAGGTGGGAGGATTGCTTCAGACAAGGAGTTCGAGGCTGCAGTAAGCTATGATCATGCCACTGCACTCCAGCCCGGGGGACAGAGGGAGACTCTCTATTAATAAGCAAATAAACAAATAGAGACATGTAGGTAGATTTTAATTTAAAATAAGATGAAAATTAATTACCTGCATGAAATAAAGACAATAGAAATTAAGATGCTGAAATCCTAAAACCAGTTTCTTACTTATAAAGAATCAAAAGGAAATTGTGACAGTGCATTTTTGTACATGAACTTTCTAAGCTGCAGTTCACTTACCCAAATGAATTAGAATAATCTAGCCCATGGTGCCAGCTCATGCCACTGAATAAAATGTTCTACTTTGGGATATCATAAGCTATAACACACAATATCTGCACTCCCATGCTGGCAATAAGCTGTTTGACATAAATTAAGGAAGTGGCTTCAATTTACATTAAACTTAAAAGATAATAAAAGTATTAAAGTACTAATTACTTTCAAGACATGCTGCTTAAAGAAGAAGTTTGTCATACTTCAAAAAATAATTCATTAAAAAGAAGGAATTTCGATGTTTAAATTTTTTTTTAGATTATATGTACATGTTTGAGACGATGCAAAACAGCATTTCAGCATTCAAATTCAAAAAAATATCCACAGGAAATTACCTTTCAGATTCCCTCCAAGAATGTAACGTAATAATACAAAAGTTTTTCTAATTATGTGACGAACACTTATATCCTCATACCTTAAAATAAAATTAAAGGATCTTAGGTCACATTTGATAAAATGATACATTCTAAAATCAAAATGTTATTTAAAATAACAAAAGGCACACAAAGTAAAAACATTCCAAAAACTACCCTTTCCTAACGATGTCTTATTTAGGATAATAGAGCACAATGAAAAAAGCATGCAAATACTAATCAAAAGAAAGCAGGGGTGGCTATATTCATATCAGACAATATAAAACAAAGATATTACTCAAACTAAATAAGTACATTAAAAGTTTCAACTTACTAGCTAAACATAAGCAACCCTAAATATGTAAGCATTTAACAAAACAGCATCAAAGTACCTGAGGTAAAAACTGGTGAAAAGAGAAAGACAAATCCATAATTATAGTCGGAAATTTCATCACACCTCTCTCAGTCATCAGAATACATGCTCAGAAAATCAGTAGGGATACAGAAGACTTAATACCTCAGTGACAGAGATCCTTGCCATAGTCAGATGCAGTGATTCACACCTGTAATTCCATCACTTTGGGAGGCCAACGCAGGGGGACTGTTTGAGCCCAGGAGTTCGAGACCAGTCTGGGCAATATAGTGAGACCTCGTTCCTACAAAACATTAAAAAAATTTTAGGCAGGCATGGTGGCACACGCCTGTGGTCCCAGCTACTCTGTAGGCTGAGGTGGGAGGATCACTTGATCCCAGGTTGAGGCTGCAGTGAACAGTGATCACACCAGTATACTGTACTCTAGCCTGTGTGACAAAGCAAAATCCTGTCTCAAAAACATAAAAAATAAATAAAAAGGATCTTGCCTTGACCAAACTTTAATGAGGCTCCTTTGAACCCTTTACTATACTAGCCCTCAACCTTTTGGGTTTCTGTGTCTGTCTCTGCATCATCCAGTTTTAGCAAGAATTCTGCTAAGTCAGTTTACTGAGAATCCTCCATCTTTGATCACTGTAGCCTGACTTCAGCAAGAATCCTGTCAAGTTGGTTTAACCACAATCTTCTCTAACCCTGATGATTCCTGTTAGTAACTTTCCATCCACTGACCCCCTCCCTGCTCCTTAGCTGTAAAGTCCCATTTGCCTATGCT
Source organism: Homo sapiens (assembly GCF_000001405.40). Taxonomy (NCBI): domain Eukaryota; kingdom Metazoa; phylum Chordata; class Mammalia; order Primates; family Hominidae; genus Homo; species Homo sapiens. The sequence goes on along the minus strand of NC_000014.9, from coordinate 37,219,063 downwards.
CATGGGAACCCAACCCACTTCTATATTGAGGTTTCTTTTCCCCTATTGCATTAGTTCCTAAGTAACATCTGCTTTTACCACCTTTACTATTAATATTACCTAGCTCTGGTTTTCTTTTTTCTTTTTTTTTTTTTTTTTTGAAATAGGGTCTCACTCTGTTGCCCAGGCTGGAGTGCAGTGGTGCAATTATGGCTCACTGCAGCCTCAAATTCCTGGGCTCAACCAATACTCCCACCTCAGCCTCCTGACTAGCTGGGACTACCACACCAGGCTAATTTTTCTATTTTTTTATAGAGACGGAGTCTCTTCATGTTGCCTATGCTGGTCTTGAATTCCTGGGCTCAAGTGATCTGCCTAACTCAGCCTCTCAAAAGTGCTAAGATTCTGGGTGTGAGCCATCACACACAGCCTCTGTTTTTCTTAAACATTAATCCATTTCACTTAACATTTATTTAAAAACCCCATCCAACAATGGCAGAATACACAATATTTTCAAGTGCACATGATGCATTTACCAAAATAGACCCTATTCTGGGCCATCAAACAGACCTCAACACACTTATAAGAGATAAAATCGGCCAGGCGCAGTGGCTCACGTCTGTGATCCCAGCACTTTGGGAGGCCAAGACAGGAAGATCACTTGAGGTCAGGAGTTCCAGATCAGCCTGGCCAACATGGTGAAACCCCACCTCTATTAAAAAAAAAAAATACAAAAATGAGCCAGGCATTTTGGTGCACACTTGTAATCCCAGCTACTCGGGAGGCTGAGACGTGAGAATTGCTTGAATCTGGGAGGTGGAGGCTGAAGTGAGCTGAGATTGTGCCACTGCACTCCAGCCTGGGCAACAGAGTGAGACTTTGTCTCAAAAAATAATAATAATAATTAAAAAAAGATGAAATCATGAAAATTATGTTATCTTACCACAATAACTAAAAATAGAAAAGAAAGAAACTAGAAATCAGTAACAGAAAGATAAGCTGAAAAATCCTTAAACAATCCCAAATAACCCATCGTTCTAAAAAGGAAGCTAAAAGGGAAACTTCTGAACGAGATAAAAATGGAAACACAACATTTTGAACTAGATAATTTTTTTAAATGTGAGATGTAGCTAGATCAATGCTTAAAAGTAAATCCATAGTACTAAGAGCATATTTTTAAAAAGAAGGAAGACCTCTAACTAGGACTTACAGTACTATGTTGAATAACAGTGGTGAAAGTGGGCATCCTTATCATGTTCCAGATTTCAGAGGAAAGAATTTCAGTTTTTCCCCATTCAGTATGATATTAACTGTGGGTCAGTCATATCTGGCTTTTATTATGTTGAGGTATGTTCCTTCTATATCCAGCTTTGTGAGGGTTTTTACCAAGAAGGGAAGCTGAATTTTATCAAATCTTTTCAGCGTCAATTGAAATGATTGTATGGTTTTTATCCTTCGTTCTGCTCATATGATGTACACATTGATTGATTTGTGTATGTTGAGCCATCACTGTATCCCAGGGAAAATCCCACTTGGTCATAATGAATGATCTTTCAAATGGATTGCTGAACTCGGTTTTAGTATTTTGTTGAGAATGTTTGCATCAATATCCATCAGAGAGATTGGACTGTGGCTTTCTTTTTTTGATGTGTCTTTGTCTGGTTTTGGTATCAGGGTAATTACGACCTCAGAGAATGTTTGGAATATTCCCTCCTCCTCTATTTTTCAGAATAATTTGAGTGGGATTGGTATTAAGTTTATCTTCAAATGTTTGTTAGAATTCAGCAGTAAAGCCATCAGGTCTTGGGCTTTTCATCACTGGGAGACTTTTTATTATGGCTTCAATCTCATTACTTATTACTAGCCTGTTCAGGTTTTGAATTTCTTCCTGGTTCAAACATTGTAGGTTGTAGGTATCTCAAAATTTGCCCATTTCTCTTACATTTTCCAATTTATTGGTATATGGTTGCTCATTAATGATCCTTAGAATTTCTGCAGTATCAGTTGTAATGTCTCATTTTCATTTCTGATTTGGATCCTCTCTTTTTTCTTAGTCTGACTAAAGTTTTGTCAACTTTGTTTAACTTTTCAAAAAGCCATATTGTTTTATTGGTTGTTTGTATTTTTTATTAAAATTTCATTTATTTCTATTCAGATCTTTATTCTTTTCCTCTAGTAATGTTGGATTTGGTTTGCTCTTGCTTTCACAGTTCTTTAAAAGCAATGTTAGATTGTTCATTTGAAGTATTTCCTCTTTTTTAATGTAGGCACCTATAGTTATAAAATTCCCTCTTAGTACTGCTTTGGCTGTATCCCATAGGTTTTGTTATGTTGTGTTTCCATTATCATTTGTTTCAAGAAATTTTTCAATTTTCTTCTTCATTTCTTCATTGACCAGCTGGTTATTCAGGAGTATACTGTTTAATTTCCAAGTATTTGTCCAGTTTCCAAAATTCATCTTGTTATTAATTTCTAGTTTTATTACATTGTGGTCAGAAAGGATGCTTAATATTATTTCAATTTCTCTGAATGTCTGAAGACTTGTTTTGTGAACTAACATATGGTCTATCCATGAGAATGATGCATGTGCTAAGGAAAAGAATGTGTATTCTGTAGCTCTTCACTTAAATGTTCTGTAACTATCTATTAGGTCAATTTGGTCTATAATGCAAACGAAGTTTGATGTTTCCAAGTTGATTTTCTGTCTGGAAAATATGTTCAATACTGAAAGTGGGATGTTGAAGTCTCCAGCTATTACTGTATTGAAGCCTATCTCTCTCTCTTTATCTCTAATATTTGCTGTATATATCTGAGTGCTCCAGTGTTGGGTGCATATATATTTTAAATTGTTATATCCTCTTGCTGAATTGACCCCTTTTTCATTATATAGTGACATTGTCTCTTTTCATAGTTTTTGTCTTGAAATCTATTTTGCCTGATATAACTAGCTCCTTTCTGGTTTCTGTTGGTATAGAATAGCTCTTTCCATCCCTTTCTTTTCTTTCTTTTTTTTTTTTTTTTTGAGATGGAGGTTTGCTCTGTCACCCAGGCTGGAGTGCAATGGCATGATCTTGGCTTACTGAAACCTCTGCCTGCCAGTTCAAGTGATTCTTCTGCCTCAGCTGGGTAGCTGGGGTTGCAGGTGCCTGCCACCATGCCTGGCTAATTTTTGTATTTTTATTAGAGACAGGGTTTCACCACATCGGCCAGGCTGCTCTCGAACTCCTGACCTCAGGTGATCTGCCTGCCTTAGCCTCCCAACATGCTTGGATTACAGGCGTGAGCCATCACATCTGGCCGATCCCTTTATTTTCTGTCTGTGTGTCTTCATAGGTGAAGTGTGTTTCTTGTAGGCAACAGATTAACAGGTCTTGTTTTTTCATCAATTCAGCCATGCTATGTCTTCTGACTGGAGAGTTTAGTCCATTTATATTCAACATTGTTATTGATGAGTAAAAACTTACTCCACCTACTTTATTTGTTCTCTGGTTGTTTTACAATATTCTCTTCCTTCTTTATTTCCATCCTGTCTTCCTCTAGTGAAAGTGATTTTCATTGGTGATGTCATCCAGTTTCTTGCTTTTTATTTTTTTGTGTATCCATTTTATGTTTTTGGGTTTGAGGTTACCATGAGCTGTAGCGACCAGCCCCAGAGGGTCAGTGGGTTTTTCTCCCCGTGTGCGGAGACAAAAGATTGTAGAAAAAAAGACACAAGACAAAGAGATAAAAGAAAAGACAGCTGGGCCCAGGAGACCACTACCACCAAGACACAGAGACCAGTAGTGGCTCCAAATCCCAGGCTGCGCTGTTATTTATTGGATACAAGACAAGGGGGCAGGGTAAGGAGTGTGAGCCATCTCCAATGATAGGTAAGGTCACATTGGTCACGTGTCCATTGGACAGGGGGCCCTTCCCTGTTGGGCAGCCAAGGCGGACAGAGAGAGAGAGAGAAGACAGCTTACGCCATTATTTCTGCATATCAGAGACTTTTAGCACTTTCACTAATTTTGCTACTGCTATCTAGAAGGCAGAGCCAGGTGTACAGGATGGAACATGAAAGCAGACCAGGAGCATGACCACTGAAGCACAGCATCACAGGGAGATGGTTAGGCCGCCGGATAACTGCGGGTGGGCCTGACTGATGTCAGGCCCTCCACAAGAGATGGTGGAGTAGTCTTCTCTAAACTCCCCGAGGGAAAGGGAGACTCCCTTTCCCAGTCTGCTAAGTAGCAGGTGTTTTTCCTTGGCACTGATGCTACCGCTAGACCACGGTCCGCTTGGTAATGGGTGTCTTTCCAGACACTGGCATTACTGCTAGACCAAGGAGGCCTCTAGTAGCCCTGTCCAGGCGTGACAGAGGGCTCACACTATTATCTTCTGGTCACTTCTCACCATGTCCCTTCAGCTCTTATCTCTGTATGGCCTGGCTTTTCCCAGGTTATAATTGTAGAGCAAGAATTATTATAATATTGGAATAAAGAGTAATTGCTACAAACTAATGATTAATGATAGTCATATATAATCATATCTATGATCTATATCTAGTATAAATGTTCTTATTTTATGTTTTTTCTTTATTATACTGGAACAGCTCGTGTCCTCGGTCTCTTGCCTCAGCACCTGGGTGGCTTGCCGCCCACAATGAGGCTTGCAAATACTATCTATAACCCATTATTTTAATCTGAAAACAACACTATTCTCATTAACAAACAAGCAAAAAGAAAACTAATAAAAACTCTATGCCTTAACTTCATCTACCTGATTTTTAGCTTTTTGTTGTTTCTATTTACATCTTATGGTACTATGTCTTGAAAAGTTGCTGAAGTTACTACTTTTTTGTTGGTTTATCATTTATTCTTTCTACTGAGAATGAGAGTCGTTTACACACCACAGTTACCGTGCCATAGTATTCTGTGGTTTTCTGTCTACTATTACAAGTGAGTTTTGTACCTTCAGGCAATTATTTATTACTCATTAATATCCTTTTCATTCTAATTAAAGTACTCCCTTTAGCACTTCTAGTAGAACAGGTCTGGCATTAATAAAATGTCTCAGTTTTTGTTTGTCTGGGAAAGCCTTTATTTCTCTTTCATGTTTGAAGGATATTTTTGCCAGATATACTATCCTAGGGTATAATGTTTTTTTTGCCCTCCAGCACTTTAAATATGTCATGACACTAACTCCTGACCTATAAGGTTTCAACTGAAAAGTCTGCTGCCAGCCACAACGAAGCACCATTGTATGTTATTTCTATTCTCTTGATACTTTTAGGATCCATTCTTTATCACTGACCTTTGGGAGTTTCATTATCAAATGCCTTGAAATAGTCTTCTTTGGGTTAAATCTGCTTGGTGTTCTATAACTTTCTTGTACTTAAATATTGATATCTCTCTTTAGGTTTGGGAATTTCTCCATTATTATCCCTTTGAATAAACTTTCTGCCCCTATCTCTTTCTCCACTTCCTCTTTAAGGCCAATACCTCTTAGATTTGCCCTTTGAGGCTATTTTCTGGATCCTGTAGGCATGCTTCATTGTTTTTTTATTCTTTTTTCTTTTGTCTTTTCTGACTGTGTATTTTCAAATATCCTGTCTTCAAGATCACTAACTTTCTCCTACTTGACAACTTCTGCTATTAAACGACTTAGATGCATTCTTCAGTATGTCAATTGCATTTTCAGCTCTAGAATTTCTGCTTGACTCTCCTTAATTATTTCCATATCTTTGTTAAATGTATCTGACAGAATTCAAATTCCTTCACTGTGTTATCTTGAATTTCTTTGAGTGGCCTCAACACAGCTATTTTGAATTCTCTGTCTGAAAGGTCTCATATCTCTGTTTCTCCAGGATTGGTCTCTGCTTCCTTACTTAGTTTATTTGATGAGGTCATGTCTTCCTGAATAGTGTACATGTATATTTTCTTTGGTATCTGGGCATTGAAGAGTTAGGTATTTATTGTAGTCTTCACTGTCTGGGTTTATTGTAGCTGTCCTTCTTGGGAAGGCTTTCCAGACATCTGAAAGGACTCAGGTGTGACCTAAGCTATATCTGCTTTAGAGGGAACCCCAAGACTAGTAATGCTGTGGTTCTTGCAGACTCACATAGGTACAACCTTGATAATCTTGGACAAGATCTGGAAGAATTCTCTGAAATACCAGGCAGAGATTCTTATTCTCTTCCCTTACTTTCTCCCAAACACACAGAATCTCTCTCTCTCTGTTCTATGACACGTAAATCTGGGGGTAAAGTGACATAAGTATCCCTGTGGCCACCACCACTATGACTATGTAGGGTCTGACCTGAAGCCAGCACAGCATTAGATCTCGCCCAAAGCCTGCTGTAGTAACTCCCTGGCTACAGCCTACGTTCGCTCAAGACCCTTGAACTCTACAGTCAGCAGGAGGCAAAGCAAGCCAGGCCTATGTCCTTCCCTTCAGGGTGGTGAGGTCCCCCAGGCCCCAGGTGGGTCCTGAAGTGCCATACAAGAGTCAGGGAGTAGAGTAAAAAATGCGGCAAGTCTACCAGGTGTTCTATTGTACTATGAGTGAGCTGGAACTCAAAGCACAAGACTCAGTCCTTCCCTCCCCTTTCCAAAGGCAGAGGCGCCTTACCCCGTAGCCACTGCCACCCCAGGCCATGAGGAGTACCACCAGACTACCGTCAATCTTCCCTTACAGCCCAAGTTCTCTTAAGTTAGCTTGTCATGAATGCTTTCTGGGTTGTGACTCACCCTTAAGGGAAGTGGTCTCCTCTCTGGCCCAGAGCAGGTCCAGAAATGTCATCCAAGAGTCAAGTTCTGGAATCAGGGACTCCAAGAGCCCACTTAGTGTTCTACCCACCGGTGGCAATGCTGGTATCTAAGGTACAAAACAAAGTCCATCCTCTTTACTTTTCCAACTACTTTTCTCAGACAGAAAGAGTTTTGCGTCATAGCCATCACAGCTGGTAATGTGCTGAGTCTTACCTAAAGCCAGCAAATCTCAGAGGCTCACCCAACACCCTTGATGTAGTACCTGGGTATCACTGTTGATTATGCAGGGCCCAAGGGCTCTTCAGTTAACAAGTGATGAATGCTGCCAGAAATGGGTCCTTTCCTTCAAGGCAGTGAGTTCCCTTCTGGCCCTGGGTGTGTTTACAAATGTCATCTGGGAGCTAGGACGTGGAGTGGGGCTCACAACTCTGACTGGTGCCCTATTCTGCTGTGGCTGAGCTGATATCCTCGATGCAAGATAAAGTCCTCCCCACTCGTCCCTCTCCTCAAGCAGAAGGAAAGGGTCTCTTTTGGAACTGGGAGCTACGCAGCCTGGGGTTAGGTGAGGGGTGATGCCAGCACTCCATTGGTTGCCCCAGCTGGTGTCTCAGTATGTCACATGCCCCCCAACCACAGTCCACTGTTTCTGGGCCTAGTTTAGCACTAGAACTCTCCTAAGAGTTGCAGTCCTTATGGCCTAGACTACCTTTCAAGTTTATATGGAGACATAGAGTGCTGCAGACCTCAGTGGCAAGGTTTGAAGGCACTCAGATTTGGACCACTGGGATCAGCAATTCCCCTCCGGCTAGGGCTGCTTTAAATGTTCCCTCCGTGGGTGGGCATCAGCTGAGTCTGGTCTGCTTTTCCTTTCTGCCCTAACAGGACAGTACTGAGTTCAATGTTTCACAATTGTTGTGTTTTCTCTCCCCCAGTTCCCAGAGAAACTCTCTGCACTATGCCACCCCTGCTGGGAGTGGGGAAGCAGTGGCAGTGACTTAGGATTGTTTTTCGATCTCTTCAGTACCTCTTTCAGCAATATGAAGTTAAAACCAGGTACTATGTGTGCTCACTTGATTTTTGGCTCTCGTGAAAGTGTTTTTTTTCTGTGTAGATAGTTAACTTGGTGTCCTTGTCTGGGGGGTGGGGGGGTGGGCAGTGGAGCTTTCTATTCCATCATCTTGCTCTGCCTCCTCATCTCCTATGCTTGTTTTCATCTTTATCCTTTGTAACATCTGAAACTGCCTTTGCAAAGATTATGACAGTGAAGGAAATCAAGCATGGCTGACTCCATCTTGCTTCTAGCTTCTCAGGCTGGCTGTACTCACCTTTCCTCGGTGTAGGCCAAGATAATCATAGGAGAAATTTAGTTTATAGTTTAATTTTGAAGCAGGGATGATAATACTACCTGCCTAAAATGAAACCCTACTTATTCAGGTACCAACACCACTTTTGTAAAACTAATGAAAGGCCACAAAATTAGGATTATAGGAGAGACCTAAATTCTGCTACAATGTAGCTGTAGTCAAATGATAACCAGACATTGCCCTCTCGCTTGCCTTTCTATAATCCCTTGCTGTCAGCAATCATGTGGCCAGAGGTCACAAGGTTTGTGACTTTCCCTATTGCTCCTTTAGATGACTCAACCAGTCCTGTGGCCCCCACTGAGAGGCCAATTCAGCACACACATTCTCCATATCCCTATTTCATCACGTGTCAGCAAAACTCATTCTCTAGCCCCCTGCCCGCCTAATCTTCAAGCCTTCGAGGAGACTGATTAGAGGAATCCCGCGAGTCCATCTACTTGGCTAGTTCTGCATTGATAAACCTCTCTACTGCAACAGCATAGTCTCAGTGAATTGGCTTTGACTGTGCAGTGAACAGGAAGAACCCAATGGGCGATTAAACATCCTTTATAAATAACCACTAAATGACTTTCCCTGAGTTCTGTGAGCCGCTCCAGCAATTTAATCAAAACTAAAGAGAAGGTAATGGGAACGCTAACTTGTGACTGGTGTCAAAAGGGATGAGCCATTAAAAAAAAAAGTGGGGCAATGGGGCAGTCTTGGGGAGTGGGCACCCAACCTGTGGGTTCTGACACTATCTCCAAGTACACAGTGTCAGAATTGAATTGGGGGATATCCAGTTGGTGTCCACTGCTTGTTGGTGGGGAAAAACTCCCTGACATTTAGTCACAGAAATCTTCCACATTGATTAGTGTGCTGTGAGAGAAGAGGGAAACACAGTTTGAGCGTTTTTCAAAAACACATACATACAAGATATTATTAAATTAAAGAGGGAAGCTACAAAATAATAGAGCATATCCATCTGGCAGGGTGCAGTGGCTCACACCAGTAATCAGTACTTTGAGAGTCCAAGGTGGGAGGATCGCTTAAGGAGCAGAGTTTAAGACTAGTCTGGGCAACACAGGGGGACCTCATGTCTACCAAAAAAAAAAAAAAGTTAAAAATTAGCCAGGTGTGGTGGCACACTTGTAGTCCCAGCTACCTGGGAGGCTGAGGTGGGAGGATTGCTTGAGCCCAGGAGGTCAAGGCTGCAGTGAGCCATGTTTGCACCACTGTACTCCAGCCTGGGCAACAGAGTGAAACTCTGTCTCAAATAAGCAAATAAACGAAAACCATGTGTATATATTATCTAATTTCTTTTCTTTTCTGTTTTGAGATGGAGTCTTGCTCTGTCACCCAGGATGGAGTACAGTGACGTGATCTCAGCTCACTGCAACCTCCGCCTCCTGGGTTCAAGCGATTCTCCTGCCTCAGTCTACTGAGTAGCTGGGATTACAGGCGAGCGCCACCATGCCCAGGTAATTTTTGTATTTTTTAGTAGAGACGGGGTTTCACCATGTTGGCCAGGCTGGTCTCAATCTCCTGACCTCAGGTGATCCTCCTGCCTCGGCCTCCCAAAGTGCTGGGATTACATGGGTGAGCCACCATGCCCAGCCTTATGTTATATAATTTCTAAAATAACAAAAGGTTAAGAAAAAAGGCAATAATAAAAAATACAAAGGGATGAAATGACACAATTGCCAAATGCTCCAACTGGAAGACAGAGATGTCCCACTGGATTTTTAAAAATCCAAATCTATGCACAGATTAATCAAAAGAAAGCTGACATAGCTATATCAAAATAGAAAGAAGTCACAAATAGGAAAAGACACTGGAAACATAACAACTAAATATAACATCAGCTCTGGATTAGTTCCTAGAATAGGAAAAGAACATTTACAGAAAATCTAGTGATATGTAGATAAAGTTTACAGTTTAATAAGTAGTATTATTAATTAAATTATATTTTGTAATTTTATTCAACTTATTCAAATTTATGCAATATTTAGTGAATTACTCAGTGAAACCACAATATTAGTGTTCTGGTTTTGATCACTGCACTATGATTTTGCATAATGATAACGCCAGAAGTAGAGTGACAAGGCCAGGCACAGTGGCTCATGCCTGTAATCCCACCACTTTGGGAGGCTGAGGTGGGAAGATCACTTGACAACAGGAGTTTGAGACCAGCCTGGCCAACATGGTGAATCCCCATCTCTACTAATACAAAAATTAGCCGGGCATGGTGGAATGCACCTGTAATCCCAGCTACGCAGGAGGCTGAGGCAGGAGAATCACTTGAACCCAGGGGGCAGAGGTTGCAGTGAGCCAAGACTGTGCCACTGCACTGTAGCCTGGGTGACATAGTGAGACCCTGTCTCAAAAAAATTAAAAAACAACAATATTTTGATGGTGGCTACATGGGTGCTCACTTTTTATTCATTCATTAAACTGTCCATGTATGTTTTATATACTTTTCATGTATTACTTGCTATGTTTTCTAAAAGTTAATTGATCTATACTATCTACATTAATTGATCTATGTTTTCTAAAAGTTAATTTCTCTATATTATTTATTTATATTTTCATTTATTTTTTCTGCTTTCCAAAACTTGTTACTCAGCAGTAAAATCCTCAAAACTATGAAGCTAGGAAACTGGTATGCTTCAATAGACAATAAAATAATATACAGCATTAAGGATTCCAGTAAAACGATTCTTCTTGTACTCAAGCAGCTTCCGAAACTTATAAAACCACACATATTGAAAGTCATTCTCCAAGTACTATTTATACATAATCAAACCATCCTAACACAGAACTGCAAATTCATAACAAGAATAGATTACCTGACTATATGCATCCAAAACAGTATAAAATCTAAATTAAAAATGCTTTCAATGCAGCCAATATCTGAATCAGAGATGCTCATGCCAACAGCCTAAAGCAGATCTAAGGTAAACATGTCTTATTGGTCATCTACTATAAAAAAACACCAAATCAATCCTTCAAAGTTATAATTTCTTTACGTTGCCAGCTTAGAAATAAAACAAACACCTAGCAATTAAATTATAACCAAAAACAAGTATGGGATTTATAGTTAAAACTGTTAATAATTGGTTTTTCAAGATATAAAAATAGCATGCCCTCAGCCTGGCATGGTGGCTCACACCTGTAATCCCAGCACTTTGGGGGGCTGAGGTGGGTAGATCACCTGAGGTCAGGAGTTCAAGACCAGCCTGGCCAATGTGGTAAAACCCCATCTCTACTAAAAATACAAAAATTAGCCAGGCATGATGGCACGTGCCTGTAATCCCAGCTACTCGGGAGGCTGAAGCACAAGAATCGCATGAACCTGGGAGGCAGAGGTTGCAGTGAGCCAAGATCGTGCCACTGCACTCCAGCCTGAGCAACAGAGAGAGACTCCATCTCAAAAAATAATAATAATAATAATAATAATATCATATCCTCAAATAAGTTTAAACTGATAAAAACAGATTAAAGCTTTTCTGATATTAATGAATAGTGTAGTTGTCTATTGCTACCTATATTAGTCTGTTTTCACACTGCTGATGAAAACATACCCAAGACTAGGCAATTTGCAAAAGAAAGAGGTTTAATAGACTCACAGTTCCACATGGATCGAGAGGCCTCACAATCATCATGGAAGGTAAAAGGCACATTTCACATGGTGGTGGCAGGAGAGAATGAAAGCCAAGCGAAAGGGTTCTATAAAACCATCAGAACTCACCTGGACTTATTCACTACCAGGAGAACAGTATGGGGGAACTGCCCCCATGATTCAAGTATCTCCCACTGGGTCCCTTCCACCACATGAGGGAATTACGGGAGCTACAATTCAAGATGAGATTTGAGTGGGAATACAGCCAAACCATATCATTCCGCCCCTGGTTCCTCCCAAATCTCATGTCCTAACATTTCAAAACCAATCATGTCTTCCCAACAATCCCCCAAAGTCTTAACTCATTTCAGCATTAACTCAAAAGTCCACAGCCCTAAGTCTCATCCAAGACAAGGCAAGTCTTTTCCACCTGTGAGCCTGCAAAATCAAAAGCAAGTTAGTTCCTAGATACAATGGGGGTACAGGCATTGGGTAAATACAGCCATTCCAAATGGGAGAAATTGGCCAAAATGAAGGGGCCATAGGCCCAATGCAAGTCCAAAATCCAGCAGGACAGTCAAATCTTAAGGCTCCAAAATTATCTCCTTTGACTCCATGTCTCACATGCAGGTCACACTGATGCAAGAGGTGGGTTCCTACATCTTGGGCAGCTCTGCCCCTGTGGCTTTGCAGGGTACAGCCTCCCTCCCAGCTGCTTTCACGTATCAGTGTTGAGTGTCTGAGGCTTTTCCAGGAGCATGGTGCAAGCTGTCAGTGGATCTACCATTCTGGGGTCTGGAGGATGGTGGCCCCCTTCTCACAGTTCCACTAGGCAGTGCTCCAGTAGGGACTTTGTGTGGGGGATCCAATCCCACATTTCCCTTATGCACTGCCCTACCAGAAGTTCTCCATGAGGGCCCCATCCCTGTAGCAAACTTCTGCCTGGATATCCAGGCATTTCCATATATCCTCTTAAATCTAGGCGAAGATTTGCAAACCCCAGTTCTTGACTTCGGTGCACTCACAGGCTCAACATCACATGGAAGCTTCCAAGGCTTCGGGCCTGCGCACTCTGAAGCCATGGCCTGAGCTCTACATTGGCCCCTTTCAGCCAAGGCTGGCGTGTCTGGGACACAGGGTACCAAGTCCTTGGACATAGCATGGGGACCCTAAGCTTGGTCCATGAAACCATTTTTTCCTCCTAGGCCTTTGGGCCTATGATGGGAGGGGCTGCCATGAAGACCTCTGACATACCCTGGGGACATTTTCCCCATTGTCTTGGGGATGAACATTTGGCTCCTTGTTACTTAGGCAAATTTCTGCAGCTGGCTTGAATTTCTCCTCAGAAAATGGGTTTTTCTTTTCAATTGCAGGGTCAGGCTGCAAATTTTCTGAACTTTTATGCTCTGCTTCCCTTATAAAACCGAATGTGTTTCAGGCACATGTATGTTTATATGGTACTATTCACAACAGCAAAGACTTGGAATCAACCCAAATGTCCAACAATGACAGACTGGATTAAGACAATGTGGCACATTTACACCATGGAATACTATGCAGCCATAAAAAAGCATGAGATCATGTCCTTTGCAGGGACATGGATGAAGCTGGAAACCATCATTCTGAGCAAACTATCACAAGGACAGAAAACCAAACACCGCAAGTTCTCACTCATAGGTGGGAACTGAACAATGAGATCACTTGGACACAGGGTAGGCAACATCACACACCAGGGCCTGTTGGGGGATGGGGAGCTGGCGGGGGACAGCATTTGGAGAAACACCCAATGTAAATGATGAGTTGATGGATGCAGCAAACCAACATGGCACATGTATATACCTATGTATCAAACCTGCACTTTGTGTACATGTACCCTAGAACTTAAGGTATTAAAAAAAAAAAACTGAATGTGTTTTAACAGCAGCCATGTCACCTCTTGAAAGCTTTGTTGCTTAAAAATTTCTTCCACTGGCTGGGTGCAGTGGCTTATACCTGTAATCCCTGCACTTTGGGAGGCCGAGGTGGGTGGATCACCTGAGGTCAGGAGTTCCAGACCAGCCTGGCCAACATGATGAAATCCTGTCTCTACTAAAAATACAAAAAATTAGCTGGGCGTGGTAGTGCATGCCTGTAATCCCAGCTACTCAGGAGGCTGAAGCAGGAGAATCACTTGAACCCAGAGGTGGAGGTTGCAGTGAACTGAGATCGTGTCACTGCACCCCAGCCTGGACAATAAAAGCAAAACTCCGTCTCAAAAAAAAAAACAAAAAACTTATTCCATCAGATATCTTAAATCATCTCTCTCAAGTTCAAAGTTCGACAAATCTCTGGGGCAGGAGCAAAATGCCGCCAGTCTCTTTGCTTTTGCTACAGTTCTCAACAAGTTCCTCATTTCTATCTGAGACCACCTCAGCCTAGATTTTATTGTCCATATCACTATCAGCATTTTGGGCAAAGCCATTCAATAAGTCTCCAGGAAGTTCCAAACTTTCCCACATTTTCCTGTCTTCTTCTGAGCCCTCCAAACTATTCCAGCCTCTGCTTGTTACCCAGTTTCAAAGTCACTTCCACATTTTCAGGTATCTTTTCAGCAGCACCCCACTCTACTGTATTAGTCCATTTACTGTGTTAGTCTGTTTACTGTGTTAGTCCGTTTTCACGCTGCTAATAAAGACATACTTGAGACCAGGCAATTTACAAAAGAAAGAGGTTTAATGGGCTCGCAGTTCCACGTGGCTTGGGAGGCCTCACAATCATCGTGAAAGGTGAAAGGCACATCTCACATGGCGGCAGCAAAAAAGAATGAAAGCCAAGCAAAAGGGGTTTCCCCTTATAAAACCATCACATCTCATGGACTTATTCACTACCATGAGAACGGTATGAGAGAAACCACCCATGATTCAATTATCTCCCACTGGATCCCTCCCACAACATGAAGGAATTATGGCAGCTACAATTCAAGATGAGATTTGCGTGGGGACACAGGCAAACTATATCACTACTTAACACATTAAACCCAAATTCAACAGCTTAAAACAATACACATTTGCAATCTCACTACTTAACACATTAAACCCAAATTCAACAGCTTAAAACAATACACATTTGCAATCTCACAGTTGCTAAAAATCAGAAATTGAGTGTTGCTTGGCTAAGTCCTCCAGCCCAGGGTCTCTCAAAAGGCTGGAATCGAAGTGTCAGCCAGGGGTGCAGTCATCTCAATGTTCAACAGGGAGAGGATCTGCTTCCAAACTCTCTCGGTGGTCGTTGGCAGGATTAATATCCCTGAGGGGGCTGGGCGCAGTGGCTCACGTCTGTAATCCCAGCACTTTGAGAGGCCAAGGTGGGCGGACCACGTGGTCAGGAGATCAAGACCATCCTGGCTAACGTGGTGAAACCCTGTCGCTACTAAAAATATAAAAAATTAGCTGGGCGTGGTGGCATGTGCCTGCAGTCCCAGCTACTTGGGAGGCTGAGGCAGGAGAATTGCTTGAACCCGGGAGGCGGAGGTTGCAGTGAGCCAAGATCGCACCACTGCTTTCCAGCCTGGGCGGCAGAGTGAGACTTCATCTCAAATAAATAAATAAACAAATGCCTGAGGTTTTTTAGACTGAGAACCTCAGTTCCTTACTGGCTGGAGGTCCCCTTCAGTTCCTTGACAGGTGGGCCTTTTCACAGGTCAGTTCACAACATGACAGCTGACTTCCTCAAGGTGAGTGAGCAACAGAGTGCCAGCAAAAAGGGAAGTCATAGATTTTGTAATCTAATCTGAGAAGTGACATCACACCATTTTTGCCATATTCTAGTAGAAGTGAGCCTCTAGGTCTAGTTCACCCTCAAGAGGAAGGAACTACACAAGAGTGAATACCAAGGTCATTTTAGAAGGCTCCCTATCACAGGTAGTATAATGGAAAAAGCAACTGGAATAAAAACCAGAACAAAAATAGGTTCTAGTAACTATGTGACTAAACTGAGAAGGTAGCCTAAATGACCCCTACGGTCTCTTGGCAGTCTTTTGAAAAAGATTACCAGAGATTAGAGATACTTCATCAAAAGGCCTCATTTCACAAAAGAAAGCTGAGTTCCAGGAAAAGTTAAAACAAACAGGTAGTGAGCCACACTTATTTTGCTCTTATGCCCAGTGCTCTTTCCACTATAGTAAACTGTTTTTGTAATTAATGCTCTAAAACAGTTCTATCTTCTCTTTATGATAGTCTCAAAATCTAATAAATTCAATAGAGAGAATAATAATACAATGCTGACAAAAGCAGCTACAATTGATTAATCTTGTGCATTATCTCTTTTTCTCTCATCAACCCTAAAGCCATCTCTAGATGGTACGTGAAGTTGCAAGTGGAAGTGAGTCATCTGCCCATCCCCAGTCCCAGGTAGCTGGACGTACTAGTAATAAGATTTGCTGGAAATAAATTATAAAAGCAACAAATAAGCAATAGACAAATACATTCACCTTGAACACACAGTCACCCTAAATATGGTAAACAAGATTAAATGTAACCTAAATAAAGTATCTAAAAACTGCAACCAGAAAAGGCAAGGTTTGTTAGTAATGAAATCCTGGAAAATTGTCCCAGAAGTCAACAATGGCAATGTAGTGCAGGCAATATGCAGGGGAGAAGGTACGGTCAGAAGCTAATGACTACAATTGGACTCACAAATACATCCTTACTAATATGAAAGCATCACCTAAGGATGATCGTACAAATTAAATATTTGTGCCACATAAATTCCCTATTTGCTCCCTTATGAAGTCTGAAGCCCTGGAGGGAGGGGACTCCCTTGTCTGAGAATCCCTCCTACTGGCACATGCCCTTTATTACCCATAATAATTTGTAGTGACTCCAAGCTGATTCAAGGAGTGCCATGAAAAACACGCATATGAACACAATTGCTTTGTGTGGGACTTATAAAGCAGGAAGGTATTTACATTAGTCATTGTGTGTGTGTTTGTGTGTGTGTGTGTGTGTGTGTAATGAAATGCAGTATGTACTGGATCCAGAATTTCTATATGAGAAAAGCTTACTTAACTGCAATGAATTGATAGTGGAAGGTGAGGCCCCTCTTAAATCTATCTGCATAACAATCAAGTAAGACTAAAAAAAACAATTATACATATCAAAGAAGGATCACACTGATGAAATTACCCTCACACCCTTCATTAGTATTAGCATATATCTAAATGTGCACTAAATTCACTTCTATAAATTACTTAAAAACAAGAAATGGGCTGGTGCAGTGGCTAATGCCTGTAATCCTGGCACTTTGGGAGGTCGAGGCAGGAGGACCTGAGGCCAGGGGTTGGATACTAGACCGGACAACAAAGGTAGACTCTGTCTCAACAAAAACAGAAAACAAAATAGCTAGGTGTGATGTTGAGCACCTGCAGTCCTATCTACTTGGGAGGTTGCAGCAGGGAAGACAGCTTGACCCCAGGTCAAGGTTACAGTGAGCTATGATTGCACCACTGTACTCCAGCCTGAGTGACAGAGCAAGATCCTGTTTCTAAAAGCAACAACAAGAACAACAACAAATACCTAGAAAGTGTTAGCTAAAAATGTTAACATGGATGGTGGGCTGAATGGTATTAAAGTAAAATTTTGGGCAATACTGAGCAAAAGGCAGGGGGCCAAGAGTAAAAGATGAACTGGGCAGCCCAAAGAGACATTTAAGGAAGAAAGGGCCTCCATCCTGGGAAGAGGTGTCACAGTTGAGCTTCACGGCCCAAGTCAATGGCTATTACGTCCTATATCATGAGTGTACTCAATCACTAGATAAAAATGTCAGAAAACCCAAGATGGAACAGCTCAAAGGACAAAATGCACCTTAAAATATTACAATAACTATATTATATATTTTTACATATTTTTACTCAAAATATCCAGAACTGTCTAGACATTCATCCTTTTCTTTCCTAGCCTTTTAAATAATATCAAAGAAAGACTGTCTCTTCTTTCTTTTCTCACTTCTTACCTGTCTTTTGTTCTTCAGATTTACAGGGTGAGAAGAAAGTGGGAGAAGTAAAAACAATTCAGACAAGAATCAAACTGGCCTCTAATTAGTCTTAAGGTAAAACTGGTAAACCAAATAAAGTATGTTTAGAGATCTGAAATCCAACACCAAAACACTATAACACATGCTGCTTTACAATACTGGCCAGGTGTGGTGGCTTGTGCCTGTAATCCCAGCATTTAGGGAGGCTGGGGAAGGAGGATCACTTGAGCTCAGGAGTTTAAAACCAGCCTGGGCAACATGGCAAAACCCCATCTCCACAAAAAAATATTAAAATTAGCCTGGGCATGTTGGTGTGTGCCTGTAACCCTAGCTACTTGGGAAGCCGAGGTGAGAGGATCACTTCAGCCCAGGAGGCAGAGGCTGCAGTGAACCGAGATCACCCCACTGCACTCCAGCCTGGGTGACAGAGGTACACCTTGTCTCAAAAAAAAAAAAAAAAAAAATACACACACACACACACACACACACACACACACACACACACACACACACATAGATAGATATAGTATTATGGATCTATATTTCTCTAATATAGCCCATCTCAGTTACTGATTTCACATCCAACCAATTGGCAAAAAATTGAACAAACATTTTTCAATAGAGCAGGGGTTAGTACGCTATGGCCCACAACTCAAATCCAGCCAGAGGACTGTGTTAAAAAAAAAAAAAAAAAAAAAAACTAACTGGGAAACCATTAGGTTGAGACAGCTCCAGCACTTTGGGTTCCTATGTAAACAAACCAAAACCCAACTCAATGTAAACAGTAAAACTAAACTTGAGTTTAATCAATCAGAAACCACCAAACAACTTCTAACTAGAGACATTCCACTGTTACCAATCAAATATTTTCTGTTTCCATAAACACCTTATAAAAGTTTTCCCCTCACACCCTCTTGGTGGAGTCTTGAATAACTTGTGGTCTGGTGATACCCAATTTATGAAATTGCTGAATGCTCATATAAACTCTAAAATTTCCATGTGCCTAAAGTTATCTTTTAACAACTGTTTTTGTATAACCCATGAGCTAAGAATTGTTTTTACATATTTAAAGGGTTGGGAACAAAGTAAAGAGGAAAAAAACAGAAAAGAATGTGTAACAGAGACTGTACAGCCTGTACAACCTAAAATACAGGTAGTCCGAGCTTCACACATTACTTGGTTAGCTGAAACTCTACAAAGCGAGGGCTGCCTACACTTATTGTCTGGTCCCTTACAGAAATAGAGGATATCCAAATGCCAGTAAACACATGAATATGTGTTCAATACCATCAGTCATTAGGGAAATTATGGGAAAACCCCAATGTTATGTCACTATATTCCTACTAGAATGGCTAAAATGAAAAAGACAGTGTGAAATGTTGCAAGCATTTGGAGGAACCAGAATTCTCAAGCTGCCACTGAAGTATAAATTGACACAATATGAAAAACTTTTCAGTAGTGTATACCACAAACACACATCTGCCTATCCTGTAACACAGTAATTTTCTAGTAGGCATATACGCAATAAAAATGTACATATGGCCAGGCGCGATGGTTCACACCTGTAATCCCAGCACTCTGGGATGCTGAGGCAGGTGGATCAGCTGAGGTCAGGAGTTTGAGACCAGCCTGACCAACAAGGTGAAACCCCGTCTTTACTAAAAATACAAAACTTAGCCAGGCGTGGTGGTAGGCACCTGTAGTCCCAGCTACTCGGGAGGCTGAGACAGGAGAATTGCTTGATCCCGGGAGGCGGAGGTTGCAGTAAGCCGAGATCGCGCCACTGCACTCCAGCCTTGGCGGCAGAGCGAGACTCCATCTCAAAAAAAAGAAGAAAAAAAAAAGTATACATAATTTCATCAAAATATTTCTAAAAATCTTTATAGCAGCCCTATTGGTAATAGCCAAAAACTAGAAATACTATACATACAGCATGAGAATAACAAACTGCTACATAACTTGAATAAATCTCACAAATAAAATATTGAGCAAAAATCAGAAACTAAGGACTAAATACCATATTACTCCATTTATATAAAGTAAATAATAGGTGAAATTCATTGATAATGTTGGAAGTCCAGATAATGATTACCTTTGGAACCATGAAGTGGGGCTTCCGGGATGCAATAATGCTCTTTCCTGATCTAGATACTGGATACATGGGTATTTACACTTTGTGAAAATTCACCGAGCTGTACACTTACGATTCATGCACTTTTCTGTATGTCTTTATACTTTAAATATTAACGCAATAAAAATATCTCTATAAACTCTACTCCTTTGAAGGAAAATTGTATACATCTCCCATTCATTTTGCTGATTGCCATCATTACCTCCCATCAATGACATGTCTTGATTCCTATTCCTCACATTAAAAATTAAACTGTTTTAATTAATTTTATTGGCATACGATTGCATAGAATGATTATGTAATTGTCATTTTAGATGAACTCCATACCAGATCACAAGGAAAAACTTTGAAACGCCAATAATTTGTGATAGTATATTCAAGTTATCTGGGGAAGAAAAGAACACCTCCTTGAAATGTAGTTTTGTTTGGCCCTTTGTTTTGGCTTATTTCTATCTACTACCACTGTGATTTAACCTGCATAAAATGCTCAAAGGAGCTTTTCCAAACGCGTGTGTTTGTGGAAAGTTGTTCCTTTCTACCATCCTTGTCTAATAATGCGGCTGTCTTGTTCCCTCCATCCATAGAGCTTAAAATGCTTCCCAAACGTTGCACCAGGTCCAGGGACATTGTGAATCAAAAAAGAAAAAAAAAAATTCTAACAGTATCTTTTTACAGCATGGCTTAGCGCGCTTAAAGAAGCCCCTCATTCTTCGCCCACACTTCCACGTGTGAGAAATGAAATATAAAACGACTCTCTCATGGGCACAGAGTCGATCAGAGGTTGAGCGAGGACTGGAACCTTCTGACTAACCGCGACTTAAGGGGAAAAAAACAAAAAAAATACACCCTTGAATAAATGCTCAGCTGCTCAGGTCCAGTATTAGGAAACTGGAGACAATACCAAAACCATACCCAGAAAGAGCTGTCTGCCACCTGAGGACCCCACGACACTGACCTTCGAGAGAGCCCCATCACTCCCGGCCACGCGGGGTCAGCATTCACTAAGTACAGATTCCGCGGGGCCCCTTCTCCTTCTCCAAGGAAAAGTCTGCGGCCGAAAACTCCAGGGCTGATCTGTGCCCACCACTATCATTCTCCGTCGCCCAAACCTCCCTGCCCAACCGTTTACCTGAGATGCGCCTGGCATAGACCGGGGAGTCGACACTGCGCGCTTGCCGAGTTTCTCAGGCCGAGTGCGCAGCCACCGCGTCAGCCAATCGCCACTGGCTCAGAGCCTCCTGGCTCGAGACTCACCCACAGACGATCCGGCGGAGGAGCGGGGCGGCGCGTGGGGCCTACGGGGCGGCGGCGCGCCGCAGGGGAGAGCGCAAGCGGCGAGCACCGGGCATGCGCGTGCCGCGCTGCCGGGCCGCGAGGCGGGGCCTCCAGGAGAAAGAGAGAGCTTGGGAAGAAGGCCCGGGAGGAGTTTGGAGAGAAAGTAGTCGAACTTAGTCTGCTGCGGTGGTTGCCCTAACGGGATGCTTATGGTTGTCGAATCCAAGACGACGAGCGCAGAACGCTCTTTCTCTTCTGAAAGAGCAAAACGTTGTCTGGACAAAACCTAATAGGATTAGAAGAGGGAGAACGCGGAACTAAAAACGGTGTCTTGTGGCCTCATACTTGGCCTCGTCGAGTTTTCCCAAGACCTGTCGAAATTGTGCTTTCCTTCTTTGTGTGTGGTTTGGGATGAGAGGTGGGAGGGACGTGTTTCGAAGCGGCGGTCAAGTGAAAATGGCACCAGATCGGGCTCCGGTTGAGTGAGCAAAAGTACTATCTAGATCCTGGCCAAAGAACGTTTCACACTAAAACCTTGGAGCTGGTGACTTTTTTTTTTTTTTTTTTTTTTGACTGAAGTGCTGGATGAGATTACGATATGTGAATCCTCTAAGAAAAAATGTTAAACCTTACAGAATTTAAAAATGTCCAAAGTTTTCAATTGGCCTACCTCCGTGAACTAAGAATGGTATAATTAACTGCTAGTAATTTAAATTTGGGTTTTTTGTTCCATAGTTCAGAATTGGTTTTATAAATGTCACTTTAACTCCTGTTACTCATGATTCCTTCAGACACCAAATACTTAGTGACCACATACCATGTGCCAGGTACTCTTCTGGGTGCTGAGTAATAAGCAATAATATTTTTTAATACACCCCAGAGAATAGGCATAATATGAGGTGCTGACGGGTTCCTAAATTTGTGGTTAAAGTTAATGAAAGGAACTTATCCTTTAGTAAGTGTACAAAAGAGAGTTTAAAAAACTGAAAAAGGCCGGGCGCGGTGGCTTACGCCTGTAGTCCCAACACTTTGGAAGGCTGAGGCAGTGGGATCGCTTGAGCCCAGGAGTTCGAGACCAGCCTGGACAACATGGCGAGACCTTGACTTTATTAAAAATCAAAAAAATTAGCTGGGCATGATGGTGCATACCCGTAGTCCCAGCTACTAGGGAGGATGAGGTGGGAGAATCGCTTGAGCCCCAGAGGTGGAGACTGAAATAAGCTACGATGGCTGGCGCCACTGCACCCCAGCCTGGGGGACAGAGCATGACGCTGTGAAAACTAACAAAATGGAAAAGTTGGACGTAGATTAACTTGGAACAACAGAGGTTATAATATTCACCAAATTTTCGTTATGTATGCTGTAATGAACAGTGTTCTCAAGAAGTTTGTTACAGATTCAGCTTTGAAATGCTTTTTTCTTTTTTGCTTTACTTCAGTCAGGATTTGAATCATATTTATGAACATAAAGTACCATAAAAATCTATGAGACAAAAACAAAGAGTGTACAGTTTATCAGAGCAAATACTCCAATCAGGAAGTATATAGCTTGTGCAAAGGCTTAGGGCCAAATCAAATTATGTGTAAAACAAAGGAAAAAGTTGATTTTCCTGGCTAGGAAATAATAAATAAAACAGGATAGTGACTACCACAATGAGAACATTCAAACCATGTAATGAATTAGTAGAATAAATTTAGAGAAAAATTATAATATTTTTCATTGAGTAAAGTTCATTTCCTCCTTTTTTTAAAGCCCATTATCTGGGTGCTTACAGTCTCTGGCATAAAGAGAAACCTCATATTTTCTTTCCTTTTAGTAAGCTGATTTTCTCTCTCTCTCTCTCTGTTTTATGCAGTGAGTTCAAACATTAGGACTAATTCTCCCTATTCTTTTTCCTTTTTCCCTAACATACCTGAAGTAACTCATTAATGTTCTTTCCCTAAACTTTTGATACCACAACAGGTAAGTTTTCCCCTACTCCCCTCCACCACCACCATAACCAACATATCCATTTCTTCATTTTCTATTGTTCTAACAGTTGCCTGTCTATAAGAAATGAAAGAGATAAATTAGAGCTTTTTTCTTTTCTCAAAATGATTATCAAAGATATTGTCTATGTCCTCATACCTCATACAAGCTGGACTTTTACAGAAATATGGATGAAGATGAGAAGAAGAAAATGAACCACTCTTTCGTTACAGGGAGAAAAAGAATGTCATATTATTAATATTATCAAGTCTGTTAATGTCAGATCATTAATATTCTCAAGTCTATAAATATTAGGCTTCTGCAGTGTGTCACACACTGATCAGTTCTGCAAATAAAATAATGAATAACAATTAGGCACACAAGTAGCTGAGAATACCATATGTATTAATCAGGGTTCTCCAGAGAAACAGAACAAACAGGATATGTGTGTATACACAGAGACTACATAGAGAGAGGGACAGTGATTTATTGTAAGGAAATGGCTCATGCAGTTGTGGACTTTTAGTGAGTCCAAAATCTGAGGGAAGAGGCGGGCAAGCCTCAGAAAAGAATTGTAGTTGGACATACATGGAATGTAATCTGTTGTATTCAAAGTCTGGTGATTTAAATGGTAATCTCATCAAAAAAACACCTTCACAGAAGCATCCAGGATAACGTTTCACCAAATATCTGTGCACCATGGCCCAGCCAAGTTGACAAAATTAACCATCACACTGTGTAAACTGAGAAATGGCTTTGGGAGAGGGGAGTTCAGGGGATGAGGAAGACAGAGTCAGGAAAATCTGAAGGAGATAATGCCTCCTGTAGTATGAATAAGACTTAGCAAGGTGAAGAGGTGAGGGTGGAGGTGCAGAGAAAACAGAATTCCTTATAAAGGAATCAATATGGGAGTGAGATACTGTAAGGAGCTATAAGCAATTTAATATCACAGTATAAAATTTAACATGGAAAGTGGTGGGAAATGAAGTTGGAGAGATTATGAAAGGTCTTTTTTAAAAATAGAGTTGGGGACTCACTATGTTGCTGGGGCTGGTATCAAAGTCCTGGCCTCAAGCAGTCCTCCCACTTTGGCCTCCCAAAGTGCTCGGATTACATGCATGAGTCACCATGCCAGGCAATATAAATGATCTCCTAATTAAGTACCTTGGACTTGATTCTATAGTCAATGAATTTTGAAAGTTAAAACAGGAGTGATGAGATTAGATTTACACTTTCATTCATCAATTTAGAAATACGTTTCAGAATCAAAATTCTCAAGTTTGCAAGACTAGTTAATCTAATTGAAAAACGATAAAAAGGCTGGGCTCTGTGGCTCATGCCTGTAACCCCAGCACTTTGGGAGGCTGAGGTGGGTGGATCACTTGAGGCTAGGAGTTGGAGACCACCCTATCCAACATGGTGGGACCTCCCCCCACCGTCTCTACTAAAAATACAAAAAATAGCCAGGCATGGTGGCACATGTCTGTAATCCCAGCTACTCAGGAAGCTGAAGCATGAGAATCACTTGAACCAGGAGGTGGAGGTTGCAGTGAGCTGAGATTGTACCACTGCACTCTAGCCTGGGTGACAGAGTTAGACCCTGTCTCAAAAAATAAATAAATAAATAAATAAATAATAAAATGTATGTGGTAAAGCACGATAGATGGAAAAGGGTAGCTTGAAGAAGTAGGAAATAGTTTGCAAAATCTGGTAAATAACTAGTTGAGAAAGAGGAAAGTGTTGATGGTATTAAAGAAATTGGTGAATAAGTAAGTTCAGTTTTGATAGAATGAGTTTGAATTGCTAGGGAAGCATCTTAGAGTAGCTTTCCAGCAGTCATATGCAAGGAAGCATTCTAGACTGGGCTAGACATGAGATTAATGAACATAGATATGATGGATAAAGCTATTTTTTAAATTTTCAAGTCAGTCTCATAGCACTTTGCTTGACTACAGTAATCCTTTTAAAGGATATGAGGATCCTTTAGCTACTACCTGTCTAAAGGATCATGATTCATTTTTTAATAGGCTTTTTTCATACACTTTAAGTTCTAGGGTACATGTGCACAACGTACAGATTGGTTACATCGGTATACATGTGCCATGTTGGTTTGCTGCACCCATCAACTTGTCATTAATATTAGGTATTTCTCCTAATGCTATCCCTCCCCCAGCCCCCCCCCACCCAACAGGCCCGGGTGTGTGATATTCCCCTCCCTGCGTCCATGTATTCTCATTGTTCAATTCCCACTTATGAGTGAAAACATGTGGTGTTTGGTTTTCTGTCCTTGTGATATTTTGCTGAGAACGATGGTTTCCAGCTTCATCCATGTCCCTACAAAGGACATGAACTCATCATTTTTTATGACTGCATAGTTTTCCATGGTGTACATGTGCCACAGTTTCTTAATCTGGTCTATCATTGATGGACATTTGGGTTGGTTCCAAGTCTTTGCTATTGTGAATAGTACCGCAATAAACATACTTGTGCATGTGTCTTTATAGTAGCATGATTTATAATCCTTTGGGTATATACCCAGTAATGAGATTGCTGGGTCAAATGGTATTTCTAGTTCTAGGTCCTTGAGGAATCGCCCACACTGTCTTCCACAATGGTTGAGCTAATTTACACTCCCACCAACAGTGTGAAAGCATTCCTATTTCTCCACATCCTCTCCAGCATCTGTTGTTTCCTGACTTTTTAATGATCACCATTCTAACTGGTGTGGGATGGTATCTCATTGTGGTTTTGATTTGCATTTCTCTGATGACCAGTGATGATGAGCATTTTTTCATATGTCTGTTGGCTGCATAAATGTCTTATTTTGAGAAGTGTCTCTTCATATCCTTTGCCAACTTTTTGAGGGGGTTGTTAGTTTTTTTCTTGTAAATGTGTTTAAGTTCTTTGTAGATTCTGGATATTAGCCATTTGTCAGATGGATAGATTGAAAAAAATTTTTCCTATTCTGTAGGTTGCCTATTCACTCTGATGATAGTTTCTTTTGCTGTGCAGAAGCTGTTTAGTTTAATTAGATCCCATATGTCTATTTTGGCTTTCATTGCCATTGCTTTTGGTGTTTTAGTCATGAAGTATTTGTCCATGCCTATGTCCTGAATGGTAATGCCTAGGTTTTCTTCTAGGGTTTTTATGCTTTTAGGTCTTACATTTAAGTCTTTAATCCATCTTGAGTTAATTTTTGTATAAGGTGTAAGGAAGGGATCCAGTTTCAGCATTCTACATATGGCTAGCCAGTTTTCCCAGCACCATTTATTAAATAGGGAATCCTTTTCCCATTGCTGATTTTCGTCAGGTTTGTCAAAGACTAGATGGCTGTAGATGTGTGGTATTATTTCTGAGGCCTCTATTCTGTTCCACTGGTCTCTATATCTGTTTTGGTACCAGTACCATGCTATTTTCATTACAGTAGCCTCGTAGTATAGTTTGAAGTCAGGTAGCATGATGCCTCCAGCTTTGTTCTTTTTGCTTAGGATTGCCTTGGCTATGCGGGCTCTTTTTTGGTTACATATAAAATTTAAAGTAGATTTTTCCAATTCTGTAAAGAAAGTCAGTGGTCGCTTGATGGGGATAGCATTGAATCTATCAACTACGTTGGGCAGTATGGCCATTTTCACAATATTGATTCTTCCTATTCATGAACACGGAATGTTCTTCCATTGTTTGTGTCCTCTTTTATTTCGTTGAGCAGTGGTTTGTAGTTCTCCTTGAAGGAGTCCTTGACATCCCTTGTAAGTTGGATTCCTTGGTATTTTATTCTCTTTGTAGTAATCCTGAATGAGCGTTCACTCATGATTTGGCTCTCTGTTTGTCTGTTCTTGGTGTGTAGGAATGCTTGTGATTTTTGAACATTGATTTTGTATCCTGAGACTTTCCTGAAGTTGCTTATCAGCTTAAGGAGATTTTGGGCTGAGATGATGGGGTTTTCTAAATATATAATCATGTCATCTGCAAACAGAGACAATTTGACTTCCTCTTTTCCTAATTCAATATCCTTTATTTCTTTCTCTTGCCTGATTTCCCTGGCCAGAACTTCCAACACTATGTTGAATAGGAGTGGTGAGAGAGGGCATCCCTGTCTTGTGCCTGTTTTCAAAGGGAATGCTTCCAGTTTTTGCCCGTTCAGTATGATATTGGCTGTGGGTCTGTCATAAATAGCTCTTATTATTTTGAGATACGTTCCATCAATACCTAGTTTATTGAGGGTTTTTACCATGAAGGGCTGGTTGAATTTTGTCAGAGGCCTTTTCTGCATCTATTGAGATAATCATGTGGTTTTTGTCTTTGGTTCTGTTTATGTGATGGATTACATTTATTGATTTGCATATGTTGAACCAGCCTTCCATCCCAGGGATGAAGCCCACTTGATCGTGGTGGATAAGCTTTTTGATGTGCTGCTGGATTCAGTTTGCCAATATTTTATTGAGGATTTTCACATAGATGTTCATCATGGATATTGGCCTAAAATTCTCTTTTTTTGTTGTGTCTCTGCCAGGCTTTTGGTATCAGGATGATTCTGGCCTCATAAAATGAGTTAGGGAGGATTCCCTCTTTTTCTATTGATTGGAATAGTTTCAGAAGGAATGGTACCAGCTCCTCTTTGTACCACTGGTAGAATTCAGCTGTGATTCCATCTGGTCCTGGACTTTTTTTGGTTGGTAGGCTATTAATTATTGCCTCAATTTCAGAGCCTGTTATTGGTCTATTCAGAGATTCAACTTCTTCCTGGTTTAGTCTTGGGAGGGTGTATGTGTCCAGGAATTTACCCATTTCTTCTAGATTTTCTAGTTTATTAGCATAGAGGTGTTTAGAGTATTTTCTGATGGTAGTTTGTATTTCTGTGGAATCGGTGCTGATATCACCTTTATGATTTTTTTATTGTGTCTATTTGATTCTTCTCTCTTTTTTTCTTTATTAATCTTGCTAGCAGTCTATCAATTTTGTTGATCTTTTCAAAAAAACCAGCTCTTGAATTCATCGATTTTTTTGAAGGGTTTTTTTGTGTTTGTGTGTGTCTCTATCTCCTTCAGTTCTGCTCTGATCTTAGTTATTTCTTGTCTTCTGGTAGCTTTTGAATTTGTTTTCTCTTGCTTCTCTAGTTCTTTTAATTGTGATGCCGGGGTATAAACTTTAGATCTTTCCTGCTTTCTTGTGGGCATTTAGTGCTATACATTTCCATCTACTCACTGCTTTAAATGTGTCCCAGGGATTCTGGTATGTTGTGTCTTTGTTCTCATTGGTTTCAAAGAACATCTTTATTTCTACCTTTATTTCGTTATTTACCCAGTAGTCATTCAGGAGCAGGTTGTTCAGTTTTCATGTAGTTGTGCGGTTTTGAGTGAGTTTCTTAATCCTGAGTTCTAATTTGATTGCACTGTGGTCTGAGAGACAGTTTGTTGTGATTGCTGTTCTTTTACATTTGCTGAGGAGTGTTTTAGTTCCACTTATGTTGTCAATTTTAGAATAAGTGTGATGTGGTGCTGAGAAGAATGTATATTGTGTTGATTTGGGATGGAGAGTTCTGTAGATGTCTACTAGGTCTGCTTGGCCCAGAGCTGAGTTCAAGTCCTGGATATCCTTGTTAATTTTCTGTCTCCTTGATCTGTCTAACATTGACGGTGGGTTGTTAAAGTCTCCCATTATTATTGTGTGGGAGTCTAAGTCTCTTTTTAGATCTCTAAGAACTTGCTTTATGAATTTGGGTGCTCCTGTTTTGGGTGTATATATATTTAGGATAGTTAGCTCTTGTTGTTGAATTGATCACTTTACCGTTATGTAATGGCCTTGTCCCTTTTGATCTTTTTTGGTTTAAAGTCTGTTTTATCAGAGACCAGGACTGCAACCCCTGCTTTTTTTTTTTTTCTTTCCATTTACTTGGTAGGTCTTCCTCCATCCCTTTATTTTGAGCCTATATGTGTCTTTGGACATGAGATGGGTCTCCTGAATACAGCACACCAATGGGTCTTGACTGTTTATCCAATTTGCCAGTCTGTGTCTTTTAATTGGGGTATTTAGCCCATTTATATTTAAGGTTAATATTGTTATGTGTGAATTTGATCCTGTTGTTATGATGTTAGCTGGTTATTTCACCCATTAATTGATGCAGTTTCTTCTTAGCATCGATGGTCTTTACAGCTTGGCATGTTTTTGCTGTGGCTGGTACCGATTGTTCCTTTCCATGTTTAGTGCTTCCTTCAGGAGCTCTTGTAAGGCAGGCTTGGTGGTAACAAAATCTCTCAGCATTTGCTTGTCTGTAAAGGATTTTATTTCTCCTTCACTTATGAAGCTTAGTTTGGCTGGATATGAAACTCTGGGTTGAAAATTCTTTTCTTTAAGAATGTTGAATATTGTATTGGTCCCCACTCTCTTTTGGCTTGTAGGGTTTCTGCCGAGAGATCTGCTGTTAGTCTGATGGGCTTCCCTTTGTGGGTAACCTGACCTTTTTCTCTGGCTGCCCTTAACTTTTTTTCCTTCATTTCAACCTTGGTGAATCTGATGATTATGTGTCTTGGGATTGCTCTTCTCGAGGAGTATCTTTGTGGCATTCTCTGTATTTCCTGAATTTGAATGTTGGCCTGCCTTGCTAGGTTGGGGAAGTTCTCCTGGATAATATCCTGAAGAGTGTCTTCTAACTTGGTTCCACTCTTCTCGTCATTTTCAGGTACACCAATCAAACGTAGATTTGGTCTTTTCACATAGTCCCATATTTCTTGGAGGCTTTGTTCATTTCTTTTCACTCTTTTTTCTCTAAACTTCTCATCTAGCTTCATTTCATTCATTTGATCTTCAATCACTGATATCCTTTCTTCTGCTTGATCGAATTGGTTATTGAAGCTTCTGTATGCTTCACAAAGTTCTCATACTGTGGTTTTCAGTCCATCAGGTCATTTAAGCTCTTCTCTACACTGATTATTCTAGTTAGTCATTCATCTAACCTTTTTTCAAGGTTTTTAGCTTCCTTGTGATGGGTTAGAACATGCTCCTTTAGCTCAGAGAAGTTTGTTATTACTGACCTTCTGAAGCCTGCTTCTGTCAACTCATGAAACTCATTCTCCATCCGGTTTGTGTTCCTTGCTGTCGAGGAGTTGTGATCCTTTGGAGGAGAAGAGGTGTTCTGGTTTTTGGAATTTTCAGACTTTCTGCTCTGGTTTCTCCCCATCTTTGTGGTTTTGTCTACCTTTGGTCTTTCATGTTGGTGACCTACAGATGGGGTTTTGGTGTGGGTGTCCTTTTTGTTGATGTTGATGCTATTCCTTTCTGTTTGTTAGTTTTCCTTCTAACAGACAGGCCCCTCAGCTGCAGGTCTGTTGGGGTTTGCTGAGGCTTGGCCTACTCAGCAAGATCCACTCAAGACCCTGTTTGCCTGGGTATCACAGCAGAGGCTGCAGAATAGCAAATATTGCTGTCTGATCCTTCCTCTGGAAGCTTCGTCCCAGAGGGGCACCCGTCTGTATGAGGTGTCTGTCGGCCCCTACTGGGAGGTGTCTCCCAGTCAAGCTACATGCGGGTCAGGGACCCACTTGAGGAGGCAGTCTGTCCGTTTTCAGAGCTCAAACACCATGCTGGGAGAACCACTGCTCTCTTCAGAGCTGTCAGGCAGGGACGTTTAAGTCTGCAGAAGCTCTCTGCTGCCTTTTGTTCAGATATGTCCTGCCCCCAGAGGTGGAATCTAGAGAGGCAGTAGGCCTTGCTGAGCTGCAGTGGGCTCCACCCAGTTCAAGCTTCCCTGCCGCTTTGTTTACACTGTGAGCATAGAACTGCCTACTCAAGCCTCAGCAATGGTGGACATCCCTACCCCCACCAAGATCCAGCATCCCAGGTCTGTCTCAGACTGCTGCACTAGCAGCAAGCAGGGTTCCGTGGGTGTGGGACCCACTAAGCCAGGCATGGGAGGGAATCTTCTGGTCTGCCAGTTGCAAAGACCATGGGAAAAGCACAGTATTTGGGCAGAAGTGTACCATTCCTCCAGGTACAGTCACTCACAGCTTCCCTTGGCTAGGAAAGGGAAATCCCCCAACCCCTTGCACTTCCCAGGTGAGACGATGCCCCATCCTCCTTTGGTTAACCCTCTGTGGGATGCACCCACTGTCCAACCAGTCCCAATGAGATGAACCAGGTACCTCAGTTGGAAATGCAGAAATCACCCATCTTCTGTGTCAATCTCGCTCAAACCTGCAGACCAGATCTGTTCCTCTTCGGCCATCTTGAAAGCGACTCCAATAGGCTTTTTTTTTTTTTTTAAAGCAGCTTTAGCTTTAAAGAAAGGTGAGGCTGGACACAGTGGCTCATGCCTGTAATCCAATCGTTTTGGAAGGCCAAGTTAGGAGGATCACTTGAACCCAGGAATTGGAGACCAGTCTGGGCAACATAGTGAGACCATGTCTCTATAAGAAAAAAAAAAAAAAAAAGCCAGGCATGGTGGCTCATATCTGTAGTCCCAGCTGCTTGGGAGCCGGAGAGGGGAGGATCAGTACAAGCCTGGGAATTCGAGGTTGCAGTGAGCTA